>NC_000011.10:99293636-99596667 GCF_000001405.40 Homo sapiens
TTAATATTTGAAGGTTGTATATGTTCACAAATTTAACCATTTATTCTAGGCTTTCCATTTTTTTGGTGTACGGTTGTTCATAATAGTCTCTAATGACTTTTTGTGTTTTTCTGGTACCAGGTGTAATGTCTTATTTTTAACTCTGATTTTATTTATTTGGGTCTTCTTCCTTTTTGTCTTAGTCTAGCTAAAGGTTTGTAAATTTTCCTTATCTTTAAAAAACCAACTTTTTATTCATTGATCTTTTGTAATTTTTAAGTTTTCTGTTTTACTTATTTCTGTTCTTACCTTTCTCATTTCTTTCCTTCTACTAATTTTGAATTTGGCATGTTATTGCTTTTTTTTTAGTTTTTTGATGAGCATTGTTAGGCTGTTTATTTGAAGTCTTTTTTTATACTGTAAGCATTTACTGCTATAAACTTTCTTCATAGTACTGCTTTTGTTGTATCCCATAGATTTGGGAATGTTGTGTTTTCATTTTTTCCAAGACTCTTTAAAATGTTATTCCTAATTTTTTAAATTAATTCATTGGTTGTACAGGAGCATGTTGTTTAATTTTCATATATTTAGTGGTTCCAAAGTTTCTCTTGTTTGTGCCCTTGTTTGCAAACGTGACCTTCTACTTACAAAATCTAAAGACACCACCAAATAATTGTTAGAACCAATAAATAAAATTAGTGAAGGTGCAGTATACTAACTCAGTGTAAATAGCTCATTAGCATTTCTATGTGCCAGCAGCAAACAATTTGAAAAAGAAATTAGGAAAGCAATCCCATTTACAATGAGTATGAAAAATACATTACCTAGGAATAAATTAAACCAAAGTAATGGAAGATCTCTATAATAAAACCAGTAATATACTGATCACAGAATTTTAAAAAGAACACACAAAATAATGGAAAGATATCCCATGTTCATGGATTGGATGAAGTAATATTGTTATAAATTTCATATTACCTTAAAAAAATCTACAGATCCAGTGCAATCCCTGTGGATGTTACTGTTTACAAAACTGTAAACATGGCTATATTTCTCCATTATCTGCAATGCTGCGATTTTGGTTACTCTGCCAATGAGAACAGATGGAGGTGGAATGAGGATACTCCTTATTTAGAGCATCACAGACACCACTGTCGACGACGTTCAGTAGTTTCTCTTGGGCAGTTTTCAGCTATTTTTGTGGCTTTAACTGATTGGCAGAATTCTGAAGTTGCTTTTTTCCCCTCACATGTCCACTCTTTTATGGAAATAATAAATACACTGAGTTGGCCAGGTTTTCACTTACATGAGATTGTGACCGTAACTTAGGGCCTTAGCACCACTCTCAGTTACCATCATTTTGGGTTTCCAGTCTCAGAATGTCATTCATAGTTTACGGTGTCCTCATGGTCACACATTTCTTTCAGCTGCTGTCATTCCAGTTGAAGAGAGACCATTTGACTTTCTAGAGATGGCTGCACGCAAACATTTAAAACCTTTGAGAGAATACAGTGCACCAGGGAAATGACCAAGAGTTTAGAGTATGCTCCTTATCCAGGATTCCCATAAACCGAACCACCAAAAAACAAATAGGTTAAAGAATGAGCTAGCTGAAGTGTCTACTCACTTGACTAAGTAGTATTTTCATTAATCCCCTACAACTGAAATATTGTAATCTACATTTGATGTATTTCTCTATAAGCCACAAGTATCAATAGCTGCACAGGTACTTTTCTGTTTAGCCAATTCTATTATTTAGCATAACTTTTACAAGAGAATTTAAAGTCTGTTGTGTAATGATAGCCTTTAAAGTAGAATTTGCTGTAGAACCTATTATGAGTGAGACATTTCTGAATATTGCCACTTTTATTCTAAACCATGGAAAAAGAGCCTAACAAATGATGTCCTTCTAGAAGACTGAAGGCCTCCTGGCAATGTTCTCTTTAATCCAGGATGTGGGTTAAGAGTTTTGACTGATTGGCCGGGCGCGGTGGCTCACGCCTGTAATCCCAGCACTTTGGGAGGCCGAGGCGGGTGGATCATGAGGTCAGGAGATCGAGACCATCCTGGCTAACAAGGTGAAACCCCGTCTCTACTAAAAATACAAAAAATTAGCCGGGCGCGGTGGCGGGCGCCTGTAGTCCCAGCTACTGGGGAGGCTGAGGCAGGAGAATGGCGTGAACCCAGGAAGCAGAGCTTGCAGTGAGCCGAGATTGCGCCACTGCAGTCCGCAGTCTGGCCTGGGCGACAGAGCGAGACTCCGTCTCAAAAAAAAAAAAAAAAAAAAAAAGAGTTTTGACTGATTATGAGGCAACGTACGTACTACTAAAGTTTCTCACCTACATTGGGCCTTTATCTTTTATCTATTAAAGCATAAGGTTATTCATTTATAAGGCTGGCTGCAAAATTCTTCACAAATGAAAGTATACCCTATAAGTGCACTTAATAGGCCCCCTTTTAATTTCTATTGTTCATAGTGGCATAAACAAGGAAAAAATATTCAAAGATAAGAGTCTCGTGAGAGTAGAAGCCTTGATCTGTGATCTTGGGAAAAGTTGTTCACATCAAGGATGTCATCTTTTTCTGGGGAGAAGCTTTCCTGGTTAGTTTTACCTTAAGGGTTCCGATGGGTGTACAGTTCCAGGAGTATGGAGGCACCCTTCTCAGCTGTGAGATTATAAACCCAAGGTTCAAAGCTAACAAATTTTGCTGTAGTGTGAATGGCAGAGATAGTCTTTCTCTGATGTTCTCAGAAGATCCAATCTTCAGGTTCTAGATTGTGAAGAGATTATCCTCAGTAAGCCATAAAAAAGCTTTCTTTACCTGGTGAAAATACACTGTAGCATAATAATCTACTTTTATAATACCAGCTCTCTTGCATGGAAAAGCTGTTATACAACCAAAAAGCATGCACTGCAAATGACAATTGAATAAAATCTCTTTATAAATATTTAAATGGCTCATCAGGTAGCCAAATGTACCTGAAGCTTTGATTGTCTTCCCAGGAATATGGAACCAAACATTGGTTTTAGGGTGGAGCCCTTGGAAAAACAGGGCCAGGAAAGTGGTTTCTGGTGCCTCCTGTTTTTCCCAGGGAGTCCAGGCTATTAGAGCTTGAATATCCACTTTTAATTAAGCTGGTTTTTAACCATAGTACTCTTTAATGAAGTCCTTTTAAAATTTCTTATTACCCGATTTTAGCCAGGCCAAAAAGCCAATATTTCTGGCTTTTGAATTTTACCAAAGGTAACCTCCCAGGTGCCCAGAGAAAGGAAAATTTAAGATAGTGAATGGAGGAGAGACTAGACAAGGTTATGCAGATATTAAACCAAGAAGGGCTTACTTCCTAGGTGGGGAATTGAACCATCAGTGTGAAAGGCCAAAGTCTTAGCTACTGAGCTATAGCACAGGGCAGTCTCTATTGTCCTTCCCAGAAGGAGTCTAGAGTAGTTAAATTTGAACTTGCAAACGCTTTTAACTACTCAAGATAATTTTTAGAGCTAACTATGACATAAACCCTAACATTTCTGTTCCCTGGCAGGTGAAGACTAATAGAAAATACTGCCACATGGTTACAAGGTCAAGCTCCCAAGGACATAAAACAAGAGGGAGGAAGGCAAAATGATCAGGGAAGCCAGAGAAAGACCCATCCATTGAAGCGACACTGAAAAGTTCAGGTAGCTGCTTCTCAGTAGCAAAGGGGTCTTTCCCAGCAGTCCCATCATCTCTCAAGTTTCCCCTTTTAGGGAGGAAAAGGCTCCCCATGGTCAGCGATCCTGTACATCCCTAATCCTGTCACCCACAGCCATCAGCACAGAGTGCAAGGCAGATTAATCCAAAGAGAAGAGCAGATGACATGCTGTAGTGCCAAACCCATTCTTGGCCAAGAGGGACTTTTACCAAGAGCCCTCATTTTTAAAATGTACTTCAATGGATTGTTGTTCACTTGGAACATTCCACTGTAAGTTATCATTAGTAAGTTTTTGCCATTTCTGTAAGACTTCACTGCCTTCCGGGCCTAATGAATAAACCAGAAGGAACTCAGTTTTCTAGAAACTAAGGATCCCATTTTTACCTAAAATACTGGCTTCGATCTCAGGTTCTCTTGATTAACCTGGCCAATGATTTTTCATACCTCAGCATGCAAGAAAAATGAAACAAAGGGGTAAAACACAAAAATCCCTGGGAATTTTCAAAAGACAAATTTTATAACCCCTGCAATATTAGCGCTTACTACCAGTTTCTTTCTCTCCCAGTCAGATGTAAGAGGTCTCTAACTGGATCCAAGCCAGTTCATTCCTGTATCAAATCCATTCCTGGACCCAGTGCAGTTTCTGTTGCGACTCCAAACCCAGTTTGGATCAGAAATTTGCTCAAAGAAACTCGGAGAACTCAAAACACAAATCCGTGGAGCTCAGAAATCTGAGAGGGAGCTTATCCATGATCTCCAGCTGCTCTGAGAGATTAAAGGACCCAAGTGGGCCCTGTAGGTACCTTGCGTGTTCACTCAGTGCTCCTAGGGGTCGCTAGAAGCTCCACTTCTGGTACCATCTGATAAAAGAAAAACTTCAGAATTAATTTAAAGGAGTTTAATTGAGCAATGAATGATTCGCGAATTGGGCAGCCCCCAGAATCACAGCAGATTCACAGAGACTCCAGGGGTGCCTCGTGGTCAGAACAAATTTATAGACAAAAAAGGTAAAATGACATACAGGAATAGGAAGTGAGGTACAGAAATAGCGAGACTGATTACAGCTTGGCTTTTGCCTTATTTGAACGCAGTTTAAACATTCTGCAGTCTGTGAGTGGTTGAAGTATGGCCACTGGGATTGGTCGACACTCAGCCACTGTTAACAGGTGCATACTATTAAGATAGGTTTTCGCATTTGTCTGGCTATTAAGCTAGGTTACAGTTTAACCACAAGGACTCAAATATAGAAATACGGAATCTTTTTAGGCCATATTTAGTTTGTTTTAACAGATGGAAGAATCTGATACCAAAGTTGTTATAATATATTATCTAAAATGTCCAGTTTTCTGGCAGAGCAGGAACATCACCATCTCAGATAGGCACTGCCATTTTAAGTTCCCCTTGATTAAAAACTGCCTAAATCCAGCCCAAAAAACATCACCCTAATGGCTAATGTCAGCATAATCATAAACCTCAAAAGACACCTCTGACCAGAAACATTCCAACCCTGAGATAAACCCCCCTCCAACCAGAGACATGCCAGCCCCTAGGTAACTTCCCCTCCAACCAGAGACATTCCAACCCTGCAATAAAACTCTCCTCCACACAAAAACATTTTCAGCCTGTGAAAAGCTCTCTTCCTAAACCCTTAAATACCCTTAATCTGTAAGAGAGAATGCTCCTGACCAAAATCAGCCAGAAGCCCCTCTTGGGTTTATTCTCCAAAATAAACCTGTCTTTGAATTGTTGATCTGCTTTTCGTGTTTCTTTTTTCTATCTTCAACTTCACATTTTCGATAACAACATAAACAAAATACAAGACATACCAAAAAATAAAGGAAAATATACCACATATACAGAAAGAAAAGTACAGCCAACGGAAAACATACCTTAGAGGGTACAGATATTGGTCTTACTAGACAAAAGACTTTAAATCAGCTGTACTAATTATGTTCAAAGAACTAAAAGAAATTATGTATTATGAATAAAAATAATACATGATAACAGTGTCTCAACAAATAGAGAATAATAGTAAAGGAACAGAAGTTATAAAAAGGAACCAAATAAAAATTATAAAGTTGGCAAGTATATTAACAAAAAAAATTACTGGAAGGGCTCAAAACAGATTTGAACTGGCAAAAGGAAGAATTGAAGAATTGTGAACTTAGAGGTAAACCAATAGTGGTTATCCAGTCTAAGAAACAAACCAAAAAAAGGAAGTAAAGAAAAATAAACAGAGTCTCAAAGACATGTGGAATGGTCTCCAATGTCACTTATTGCCCATTGTATACCCATATATGTCCATTGTTTAGCTTCCACATATAAGTGAGAAAATGTGGTATTTGATTTTCTGTTTCTGAGTTATTTCACTAGGAGTGATGGTCCCCAACTCAATCCATGTTGCCGCAAAAGACATGATTTCATACTTTTTATGGCTGCATAGTATTCCATAGTGTGCGCATGTGTGTGTGTTTCACATTTTTTTAATCCAATCACCTGTTTAGGGACATATCATGTGACTGCTATTTGAAATAGTGCTGTGAGAAACATACAAGTGTAGGTGTCTTTTTTATATAATGTTTTCTTTCCCTTCAGATAGATATACAGTAATGGGATTACTTGATCTAGTGATAGTTCTATTTTTAGTTCTTTGAGAAATCTCCATACTGTCTCCATAGAAGTTGTACTAATTTACATTTCTACCAACAGTGTATAAGCATTGCCTTTTCTCTGCATCCTTGCCAACATTTGTTATTTTTTGACTTTTTAATAATAGTTATTCTGACAGGTTGACGCCTTTTATTTCTTTTTCTTGCCTGATTGTTGTGGCCAGGACTTCCAATTCTATGTTGAATAGGAGTGGTGAAAATGGCGTCCTTGCCTTGTTCCACTTCTTAGGGGGAATGTTTTCAGCTCTTCCCCCATTGACTATGATGTTGTCAGTAGGTTTGTCATATATGATTTTTATTATTTTGAAATACGTTTCTTCTCATGCCTTGTTTGTTGATAATTTTTATCATGAGAGATGCTGTATTTTATCTAATGCTTTTTTTAATCTATCGAGGTGACCATATGATTTTCATTTTTATTCTGTTCATGTGGTGAATTACATTTATTGTTTTGTATATGTTGAACCATCCTTGCATACCTGGAATAAACCCATTTGATCATGGTGTATTATTTGTTTGATATCCTGTTGAATTTAGTTTGCTTGTATTTTGTTGAGGATATTTGTATCTATGTTCATCAGGATATTTGCCTGTAGTTTCTTTTCAATGTGTTAAAAGAAAGACTATCGATCAAAAATTTTGTATTCAGCCATGCTCTCTTTTAAAAATAAGAGAGGAATTATGATATCTCTGGGTTTAAAACAAACTACTGAAAGAATTAATCACCAGCAGATCTGCCCTACAAAAATAGTAAAGAGAATCTTTCAGGCTGACATGAAACAGCAGTAGATGGTAACAGAAGTACATATGAAGAAACAAAAAGGGCAGGTAAAAGTAACAATAAAGAGATCATAAAAGACAGTGTAAACTTGTAAAACATGATGCTTTCATCTTCCTGTCTATTCAAAAAGACAATTTCATAAAATAATAATTGTAACATTATTGTGTAGAAGGGGTTATAATATATAAAAATATAATTTTTATGGCCCTAATAGTAAAAGTGGGGAGCAGTACCTAAGGTATATTGGAGTGATTATTTGGTATACTATTGATATTAAGTTGGTATTAATCCAAATTGGATTGCACTGAGATGTTAATTATAACTCCTAGCACAGACACTATTAAACTAACTCAAAAAATACAGTAAAATATTAAAAGAGAAACACTGGAAGTATATATTTGACACAAAAGTAGGCAAGAATCTAAGAACAGAAATAATAATACACATAGAAAACAAGTAGCAAAATGGCAGATTCAAATCCTACGTTATGAATTATAACATTAAATGTAAAAATGAGTTAAATACCCCAAAGAGCAGAGATTGACTGAACTGAAAAAAAAAGATTAAAAAAAGGTCCAAGATTTACAAGAGAGATACACTTTAGATTCAAAGACACAAATAGATCAACTGTAAAATCATAGTAGATATGCCCATTTAAGATATAATCAAGAGAACTGGAATGGCTATACGAAGATCAGACTGAATTAATTATAAGACAAATATTGTTACTGGAGACAAGAGGGGCATTGTATTATAAAAATAGTATCAATTCATCAGGAAGATATGATCATTATAAGTATTTATGCATCTGACAACAGGGTCTCAAAATACCTGAAGCAAAAACTGGAAGAATTGAAAGAAAACATAGACAATGAAAAAATAGCTGGAGAACATAACCCCATTTTTAATAATGTATAGAACCTCTAGGCAGAAGAGAAACAAGAAAGTAGAAGACATGTACAATTCTATAAACCAATTAGTCTACACATTTATAGAACATTCTACCCAATAACAGAAAAAATGTGCACTCTTCTTAATGTACATGAAACTTCTAGATAGACCGTAAGTTAGGCCACGTGACAATCGTAAATAAGTTTAAAATGATTGGTAGCATGTAAAGTATGGACTCAAAACACAATGTAATTAAATTAAATATGAAAAAGAGAAGAGAGTTTTAAAAATTGAATATTTGAAAATAAAAAACACACTACTAAAAAAACCCGTGGGCCAAAGACAAAAAGCTTCAGTAGGAGTTATAAAATACTTTGAAATGAGGGAAAAGAAAAACACAATATGTCAAAACTTGTCGGATACATTTGTAGCAGTTTGTAGAGAGAAATTCATAGTTATAAATTTCTATATTAAAAAAGATGAAAGATCTCAAATAAATAATCTTCCAACTTAAAAGAAAAAGAAGAGCAAGCTAAGTTAAAAGCAAGCAAAAGGAAAAAAAGAATAAATATTAAAGCTGAAAAGTAAGAAACAGGAAATATAAAAACAATAGTGAAAAGTCAATGAAACCAAAAGTTGGTTTGATGAAAAGATCAACAAGATGGGCAAATATTTAGCTAAAATGACCAAGATAAAAATAAAGAAAACACAATTTAATGAAATCATTAATGAAAGAAAGTCATCATTTCTGACCTTATAGAAATAAAAAGATAAGAAAATACTATTTACAATTGTATACTAAAAATTAGATAACTTAGAGGAAGAAATGGAAAGTGACTACTAAATGGTATGCTGTTTATATTTTTATTGATACATAATACATATGCATATTTTCAGGATACATGTGATAATTTAATACCTTCATATCATTTGTGAGGGTCCAATCAGTGTAAATGGTACATCCACCACTTAAATAATTGTCTTTTCTGTATGCTAGAAACATTAAAAATTTTCTAAATTTAGTTTGTGGTAACTTTGCAAGCCTTAATACATTGAAAATGAGGGAACTGCATGCTTTAAATGGGTGAATATTATGGTGGTATGTGAAATATATCTCAATGAAGATTTAGAAAACAACAACTATTAATCCTATACTTGAGAATTCTATCAAAAATGAGAAATATTGAAAAGGTTATCTTTGGTGTTTAGAAGTTTCTCAAAATGGAATGGAACACTAGACTTCACTAATATTATTTAATATTAAGTAAATATTAATATTTAATATAGCTTATACATATATTAGTTATACTTGAAGAAACAGGTATACAACATTGCATGTACATATACCTGCAATCTATAAATATTTTTCAGGAGATTTCATAGCTCTTAGGAGATAAAACACACAAAATTATATAAATAACTAGTCATTATTCATGTTTTTGCAGTGACATGAACCATAAAGTTTTATGCATCCAGTGCATGTGTATTTATATATATTTATTCACTAGAATCCAATTGACCTTGTATTACAGCCCATATGCATTAAGATGCTTATCGATTTTAGAAGACAGTTAATTTCTAAATGTTAGGAAAATGTTATTATACTATATGCATATGTTGAAATATCTGGTATGCTCATAATTTTTGTAAGCGCTTAACTCACTATTTAAAAAATGTTCTGAACAGATAGTGTTACAATATAAAATACTAAACTTAGAACACATGATTTTAAATAGTAGATGACTGTACAATTATTAATTAGTATTACAGATTTGAGACACATTTATCTTCAAACCAATTTAATGCAAATTAGAGCAAATGATTACATGGCAGCATAATTATATCTAGCTTGTGACCTACCAAAGATAGGAAATGGCACACGAGATTAAAACTGGAGGAAAGAAATAGAAAATCTTGACCCAAACTAATATCTCTGTAGTTCAATTACATGCTACTAAACACTGGCTGTACCCTCTGCTTTCTTTAGCTGAAAACACCAGTGCTGTGTTCCCTCCAGTGATCTGTATTCAAGTACTTGAGAATTTCTCATCAGTACTAGTGATTCTCACTCTGGGGGTGAGCCACATTTTCACATTTTCTTTGGTGATTGCATAAGAATGCCTATGGTTGATATTTAAAGTTCTAAAAAGTTAACAGGGCTGTCAGTACTTATGTTGAGGACATCACCTCATTCCCACCTGCATAATTTCTTCTTTGAAGATTATATTAATCCTTTAGTAACACCATAGTGTCTAATAAGCAACATATTTGTGGAGGCCTAAAAAATGGTTTGAATAATCTCCTCAGCATGGCCTTCATCTGGGGGTGGTCCTTCAGAAGTTTCTTCCATGTTAATGTCTGTCTCAACACCAAGTCCTTTGTCTTCATGTACCTTGTTGTTGGGAAGTCACGACACCTAAAATGATTTCAAGCTAAATGACAGTTTTTCTTGATCTGGGAGAATAAATGACGAGAGCAAAGCTAAGCCTGAGAAATTTGTGAAATATATTATGTTTGTCTTTGAAGTGCCCTAACGTTCTTCACACAGGACCTCTCTCATTGTTCCTGCCTGGTAATCTAATGCCCCCACCAAACACTATAAATGGACTGATCTTTCCAAACCTACTTTACCTTAAACAGTCTCATATTACAGAGTTACTTCTCATCTCCTATAGATCCTTCCATCAAAAAAATATATATTTCCTTAGTACACTTTGTGTAAGGAAAATAATCTGATTAAAATCATTCACATATAAATCAATTTGTCTTAGTACTCCATTTGACGGGACAAAGAAGTTGACATTTCTTTAAGTGAATGAATCAGGTCTAATACCAAACTCCTTGCAAAAATGTTCTCCCTCCTCTGTATTCTGGAGAGAATCTAAGAGTTATTCTGGTAATAATTCAAATTTTCAAGGTATTGTTTACAAATCTGGATGCAGTTCACTCACAATAAAATTTTTAAACTCACACTCACTACCTTGGGTTTGAAAATGGCTTAACCACCATCATCACAGAAATGCTTTGAAATACGTTTCAGTGTTGTGCTTTTAGATGGTAAATTCCTTGATGTCCAGTGAGATTAAACAAATTGTTTGCCGCAATTCTTACTGTGAAACAATCAATAACTTCACTCCTGAAGTATGGTCATCTCTATTGTGAGGTTCACAAGGCCTTTGCCCACAGAAAGAATTGAGAAATCAATTTTGACTCCCTACGAGTTGTGACTGTGTCTCTACTTGACTAAATAAATAAGTAGATCAAGTGGAAAAGAAAGAGGATGTCATGCTCAGCAAAGGTTACTAATAGATATATCTGTTAGCCCACAGATCTGGGGTAATGATATTTTAGATATTACTTGACTTTCCCATGCCTATCCAGTAACCCTTAAGAATACCCTCTTTACAGAACAATGTCAAAGTGGTTGATTTAGAAGAAATTTCCAACCATAAGCATTCCAGAATGAGGGAAGTACATCACTCTAGGAGCAAGCAAACTGTGTTACCCTCAGACAAAAGCAAAATAAAACACAGCAATTAGAACACTGCCTTAATAAGGGCTTTGTCTCTCTGAATGAATTATGAGATAAAAAAGAATACATGAATAAATCACTCAGTAAAGTGTAAAGTGTCATGGGAAAAATAGGTACTCTATTCCTAGTATATTCTAACAGAAGAGATGCTTGTTAACATCTGTTTGAGTTTCACAAACAGCAAAAGCTGGCAATCTGTAAAGTTTTAATTAAATAAAGCAAAAAGAATTTGTCACTTGGTAAAGTTTCTGGGAAATTGATGCTTAAAATGTATCAAAATAAGGAATGAAATTTCTAGGTCAGTTTTTTCTTTGATGTGATATATTAAAAATGTCCTACCTTTAGGCTTTTTATATACGGTCTTTCAGATAACTGCAAAAAAACAATTTTTCTCTGTAAAATAAATGGGCAATTTAACAATCCACAGCAATGTTAGTGCTAGTCAGAATTGCCATTTTAGCATTTATATAATAAGAAGAAAAGTGTGCAGCTCTGTTTTTTGTTTGAGAGTTTTATCTTGGCCAGGTGTGGTGGCTCACACCTGTAATCCCAACACTTTGGGAGGCTGAGGCAGGTGGATCACCTGAGGTCGGGAGTTCGGGACCAGCCTGACAAACAAGGTGAAACCCCATCTCTACTAAAAATACAAAAATTAGCTGGGCATGTTGGGAGGCACCTGTAGTCCCAGCTACTCGGGAGGCTGAGACAGGAGAATTGCTTGAGCCCAGGAGGTGGAGGTTGCAGGGAGCCGAGATCTCGTCTCTGCACTCTAGCCTGGGTGACACAGTGAAACTCCGCCTCAAAAAAAAAAGAAAAAAAATAGTTTTATCTTGAAAGATGTCTAGAAGAACTATGAGAAAGATACATTGAAGAACTAAAATTTCATACAATTTCTTGAAATGTTGAAATTTTATCCAAAGCTACCAAATTTTTCAGGAAACTATGTAACTTAAGTAATATAGTGGAGAGCTGTCCTTTAGGACTTTAAGATAAGCAAAATGATATTAAGCTTTGTAACACAGTAGAAGAACTGGATCCAAGTGTCAGACAATTGGTTTAAAATCCAAGGTGTGACATTTATTATCTCTGGACATTGGGGAATTTACTTATCAAATAGGAGCTTCATTTTTCTCATTTGTAGAATAATACTTATCTTTTAGGGTTATTGTGCATTCACACAAAAAAATGAGATAGTGGACAAAAAAAGTTGTAATTATGTAAGGCGTATAGACAAGGTAAATAAAAGGTAAATATGAGATATGTAAATGAGGTAAAGAAAATAAAATACCTACCATAGTGCCCAATAACTTCAATTAGCTCACACTGTAGATATTTCCAATATAGATTATATATTGTTTCAGAGTTTGAATTGTTAATATGAATTTCTCTAACTTTTAGATATAAATTAAACAAAAATCCTTAATCTCTTTTTTAACTAAAAAAATTCAGGAGGCTGAGGCAGGAGAATGGCGTGAACCCGGGAGGTGGAGCTTGCAGTGAGCCAAGATCGTGCCACTGCACTCCAGCCTGGGCGACAGAGCAAGACTCCGTCTCAAAAATAATGATGATAATAATAATAATAATAATAATAATAATAATAATAATTTATTGTGATAATATACACATAACATAAAATTAACCATGTTAATCATTTTTAAGTATTCTGTTCAATAGTGCTAAGTACAACATATTAAACTTCTAAAAGTATTAAGAAGTCATAAACTCTCTTTTCTGATTGTTGTAAATTTATTTGTATTAAGGCAAAACATCTTCCTGAGAACAACTTCAGTTTCCCATTCTCCACTGGTGTGACCTATCATTCCTACATTCTATTAGCATTCAAATTAGAAGTGAAAATGAGATAATAAGTATACAGATTCGTTTTGATCCCTAATGAAATATGAAAAGAATTAACATGAATTGTTGTATGGTCTTTCCCTGAGTCTTAGAATAGTATTTAAATATTTTCCTAGTGCCTCATATGGCATACAAGAAAATCAAGGCTAATGTTCAGTGATCACTGTAACAAATAATTATCCAGCACTAGAACTAAGGATTAATTCGTTCAAGTTAAATATTCTTTCTAAAACTTCAAGTTGTCTCACAGTATTTTTTTTTCTTTTCATGGTGCTTTTCTTTCTATTCGTTGGTAACAATGAGATGACTTTCTAGTGTTTTTGTTCTTGTTGTGTTTTGTTTTGTTTTTAGTAAGACAAGATGACACTTGTTATTTAGTTCACCTGGTGAACAGTCTAAAGAAATCTATTCAAAAAATGCATATTTTCTCCTGAAAACATTCAGCTTTATCTAACTATAATATCTTGGATAATTATATTATACTTCTGTCGTTTATCACAGATTCATCTGCCTATACTGAAATTAATGTAACAGTCTTCTGTTTGTTGAATCAGAGCTCTAATATCATGATTCAATCTGTGAGCTGCTCCCCATTTGAATCAATAAAAGGCTGAGAGGTCTTGACAAGCTATATTTTTTCTAATATTGATCTTGATGACCAAGCTGGTGCCCTTGAGTCTAACCATTGATTTTAAATGGGAGGCCTGTCAAGTTGGAGGCCAATTTTTTGCTATTAAACAGATCGGGTCTTGTAATTAAAGAAAATGTCAGGCTGTCATATTTTACAAGAGGGCCATGGGAATATTTTCACGCAGTTTTCAAGCAAATTAGAAAGTATGCAGACCTGCTGGAGCCAAACACATACACCCAAACCAGCATAGGCTTACACAGAAACTAAATCAATGTTCAAATAGTATGTGATTCATTGGCTTTCTATTTTCCCAAGACTCAATGATTTAAGGAATAATTTATGATTCCTGGCTCTAATAACATGCACTGCTGCATCAACTTAAAATGCATCAAACTCTTCTGAAAGAAAGTAACATTCAAATGAAAAGCTAATTTACTGTCAGGATAATGGAGAACATCCAATCCAGTCTCTGCAGCTTTTGCTTCCTGTTTCTTTCTAGTACTACTGGAAACCATAACTTCTTACTCCTCTTTTTATGATACATTTCCTTTATTCTTCCATCAGTTCAAGAAATATTTACAGAAAAGCAACAAATAAAGAGCTGTTGAAAGATCACATTAGTGTAGAAGAAACAGACCAGTAAGCAAAACAACATTATATTTGTTGTAATATAGGTATAGTACAAGTGCCTTCAAAAGCTAAGAAGTGAAGGGCTAACTTTGCTATGGATGTAGTACCATATTGAGCAGAGCTTGGGACTACTGTATGAGAAATTGAGAGCCTGAAATTTTTATATTGGAATGTGATAAGGACTCACATAAGTTTGAGAATTGACTTCTGAGGCTAGGGATACTATAAAATTGAACATAAAATATAGAACTTTCAGAACTGGAAAAGAAAATATTAAAATACCAAGAGAAAACATACTAAGAACACAAATTAATAATTCTCCCAAAAGGAAATATGAATTACTATAAGCTTTCAGGAAAATATTCAACCGTTATTTCTCCAAATATTGATTTTGTCCAATAAATATTGTCCTAACATTGTTTCAATAATGTCCCAGTCAATATCTCTTTTATTATTCTGTAATTTCTGTTACACTTATGTTAGTACTTCTGCCCATGTGACATGATCTAACTTATGCTCTGTTCCTCTCATTCTTATTTTTTCCTCCCAGCTTCAGTTTGCATATTTTTATTGACTTGTCTTCAAATGTATTGATATCATCTTTGACTGTGTTGAATCTGCTTTTAAGCCCATCCAATGACTTACTAATTCCTAATACTGTATTTTATTCCTTATACAAAATATACATTTGATTTTGTATATATTGTATTCTCTGTAAAAATATTTCATCATCTACATATTTTCTATAGTTTTTCTGTTTCTTTAATATGCTAGTCATAGTTATTTTGAAATTATTTTCTGCTAACTACAACATCAGGAGTTTTTATAGGCCTGCATGTTAATAATCTTATCACTTTTTATTAATATCAGTCACTTTTTCTTTTTAAATATCTAGAGTGTTGGGTGGTTTTGTTTTTGCTATTTCTTTTTTTTTTTTTTGTATTCTGGAGGTTACAAGTGATACTTATAAACTATTGAAATTCTGAATCATGGATCCTTCCTTAAAAAAATGTTTCACTTTGTTCTGGTAGGCACCTTGATGCTGAAGAGTCCCACTGTTAGCTTTGTTAAGATAGTCCTGTATTAGTTTGGAAAGCACAGCGTATCCGCTAAAATCTTTCCATTCTGGATGAACCAGAAAAATGATTTCCCTCCCAACAACAAAAGACTCTTGATTCTTCACTTGCTTTCTGCCTCCCAGCAGCTGCTGCCTTGTGAACTTCCATAGTCTTTCTCTGTGCTTTTGCAGTCCAGAAATTGTCCAAGGATCTAAGAAATATTTTCAACAAATAGATGGGATGCTTATCCACATTCCGTCTTTGATAGCAGCTCCAACTTCCACTTATCAATACCACTATTCCATGTTTGCTATCTAAATACCTACAGTGAAGCCCAGAATAATATCCCAAGACTCATTTTATGCATCTCAACTCCAAAATTCCCTACGATGGTTGCCCAATGACAGCCGTCAGTTGTTTTATATGATAATATTAATCAAACAATTGTTTTATTAAGTTTTTTTTAAAAATTTAACTATTAATATACATTAATCTCAAAGTTATTGTACTGCGTGAAAGGCAAACAAAAGAGATTATAGAATATAGCTCGATTGTATAAAATGATGGAAAATAAAAAGGAGTCCATAGTGCAGAACACAGATCAGCAGCTAAAATTTTCATTTATATTATATGACTTTATATGGTGATAACTTTGGAGGGAAAGATTCCAAAGAGATATGAGGACACTTTTTACAGTGTTGACTGAGATGATTGTTTCATGGTGTACAGGTATAATTAAATGCAAAATTATACAATTCAAATATGTGCAATTTAGTGTATGCCAATTTTGCCTCAAAAGTTGTGAATACGCACGCATAAGTATCTGCACATATTTATATCTACAGAAAGACACATACAATGCTGATTAATAATTTATAAGGAAATAATATAGTAATTTTAAAGAAATTTGGAAATATGCATCAAATAGTGAAAATTTTTCAACTTCTATGAAATCCAACTCCAAGGAAATGTTATGAACTATAAACAAATATGTTTTCAGAAAGACATTTATAATAGTATTATTTAAAATCTTGAAAAACTTGATGCGTGATAAATTATCAATAAAACACTCTTAAATATTGACATAGTCACATAGTGAATTATGGTTTAATTATTACGTTGGTAAAATGTTTATAATACAATTTACCTTTTTGCCCTTCTTTACCCTTTTATTTGTTTTTAGGCACATTATTACATTGAAACACATCTATATACACATTTCAATGAGTTTTGAAAAATAAATACGCCTATAAGCCACTATCCCAATCAAAACATAGAATATTTCTGTCAATTGAGAAGTATTTTTGTGATACTTTTATTCAATACACACTATAAACATGTAGCCATTTCCTGATTTATAGCAACAATGATGGGTTTGGCATGTTTCTTAAATTAATATAAATGAAATAATAGACTATATACTATTATGAATTGCCTATTTATATGAAAATATCACAATTCATATTTGGTGACTCTCTATTGGTTGAATTATGGCAAATATTTTTCTGTGTCTATTAAGATGAGCATATACCTTTTTCCTCCTTTATTATCTTACTGTAATGAATTAGGTTGATTATTTATTATTTTTTTTTTTGAGACGGAGTCTCGCTTTGTCACCCATGCCGGAATGCGGTGGTGCTGTCTTGGCTCACTGCAACCTCTGCCTCCCAAGTTCAAGCAATTCTCCTGCCTCAGCCTGAGCAGCTGGGACTACAGGTGCACGATACCACGCCCGGATAATTTTTGTATTTTTAGTAGAGACTGGGTTTCACCATATTGGCCAGGCTGGTGTCGATCTCCTGACCTTGTGATCCGCCCGCCTCGGCCTCTCAAAGTGCTGAGATTACAGGCATGAGCCACCGCACCCAGCCTGATTAGTTTTTAAGTAGGAACACCATCTGGTATTCTTTCCCACTGGGTCATGATGTATTTTTACCTACATTATCTGATTTGATTTGCTAAATTTCTGTCAAATACTTTAATGTCCATATATAAGGGGTTATTGTTCTACAATTTGCTTTTTTTTAAGAATACCATTGTCATATTTGGGCTTCAGAGTTGTGTTGACCTTATCAAATGAGTTGAGGAGTGACAATTTAGGACAATTTCCAGAGATTTCATTTTTGTTTAATATTTTTCACCAGTTGTGGTTCTTTCACTAGGGAAGGGGTTCTGAAACCTCATCACAATGCTCTCCTAAAATTTGTCCCTAGAGTCAAAGAGTGCTCCAGTGTTATTAAACCAAATGCTCTTACTTTGACCTTTGCCAAAGGTATAAATAATACTTAATGTCAAATTTATTTTCAAGTGGTTCTTGAAATAAGCCTTTTTAAAAAGTCGAACTCTTTAAATCAATAGTGTTAGTATTTTAAGAAAATTGTATCTTTTATTTTATGCTAGTTTGTTGTAGTATTAAAACTGACCATATTATTAATTGTGTATATAATATTCTAGCACCTATAGCTCTTTGTCCTCAAAGCCCCAGAAGATGATTAAGAAATATTTTCTTTCAGTTGTTTCTCTTTCCCTAAAAATTACTTTTAGGCCTGTTTACTATCTACAGGTATAACTTGCCAAATTCTTTGCAGACTTTTATACCTCCTAAGCTACTACCTCTGAAGAAATCACCTTGGTTGGCTGTTTTGTTGACTGCTACTGCTGGTTAGCCAGGAGATAAATTTCAAGTGGCCACAAATTCATTCTTTGATTGTGACTGGGTTGCATCACGTGATATGAAATATCAGAAATGTAGTACAGAAAATGTGTTCTGATAAAACATGAATATATATTTTGCATCAATCCAACAACAAAGCAAAACAAAAAATAAATTAAATAATACATAAACAATTTTATCCATATCATTTGCCTCCTCAAATATTGCAGTGGAGTGGCAGTGTTTGAGAGGGAAATACATATAATATGAAACACCGGGGTTAAAGACAACATATGTTCCTCTAAAAAATTATCTTGTCACTTACTTGCTTTTTGAATAGAGGCAAATTATATATCCTGTATGAGCCTTCGATTCTTTATGTGTTAAAAAAATAATGCTGACTTCTTTATGGGATTGTTGTAAATATTCAATAATAGTGTTTTACACAATGCATGACCTGCAAGAAATACAATTTTTTCTCCGAATGGTAGTTAATTGTTTCTGCTATAATATCCTTCCTTTTCATTCAGCAGAATGCATTATAATATAGTCAGACAGTTAAGAAAATTGGTTCTATTCAGTCTCTCTATGCCAAATTGTATGGTATTGACAAATTATGTAGCCTTTCTATATCTCTGTTCTGCATAGGATTGCTGTAAGACAATTCAGATAGTGTGTGTGAAATGCTTAGAACATTCTGCAACATTTTAGTAAGTATTCAATAAATATTACCCATTGTTATTATATTCCAAAAAATCCTACATGATAAATGAGAAGAAAAAAGGATTTAAGAGAAATTAAGTGATTTTTTTTTTTTCCCCAGGAGCCTCAGCAAATAAATGGCCTAAACAATTGGAAGCCTAGGGATGTAATTGCTGGTCTTCTATTAAAAAGTGAAGGAGACAAGATTTTAATGAAGGTACTCATTCTATTCATAGGCTGGACAAAAATAGTGGTTTTAATAGAACGAGCTAATAAGTAAGAGATAAAAGTAGAAAACCCAGAGCTACCTGGAATTACACTACACTCAATTATACTCGATCGTATATAGACAGATTAGCCTTCCTCTCAGGTGACATCTCACGCAATCCAAGATTTGAAGTTTTTTTTTTTTTTCTATCACTGCTATTTTCTCTAGGATAATATATTCAATGAATAGAAATCAAATAGAAATCAAATCGGCTTTAACAGTTATGATGTAAGATTACTCCAGTAAAATAACTTCACAGATGTACGTCATGATTCAGGAGTAAAAACAAATTATCTTGAAATATGTAAATCATTGTGACCCATTTTCAGCTTGAATTATTTGTGCTTTCACACAGATTTTCACTTCTTTTGCTTATAAAAGTAATGTTATTAATACATTTTTATTTGAATTTTTAATTTTAAGAACAAATGCCCATCCACTAACTTATTCTAGACTTAAGACTTTTTTTACAGACAGCTGAAAATTTGCTAAGAACATACTAACATTGAAACAGCAGGGAAATTCTCACATAGGGAAAGAGAGGAGAAAATTATTTACTTATGGTTTATGGGGATCCTATCTGCTCCAGTGAATTTAATTTACCACAGGAAAGATGCTCTGTATACGAAATAAAATATACTTCTTTATCTCAAAGTGTACATTTCAAGGAATATTTTGTCTCCTTTACAAGAAGGATTAATTCACATAAAATTAATATTTAGTAATAATTATTTCATGATTAAAATTCTATTTAACAAACTCCACTTAAACTGTGTCTATAATAATCAAAACAACTGAACAGCAAATATTTATTCTAATGATTTGCAGCTGCAATAGTATATATTGTGCTTGCAAAAACTTTGCCATCAGTTTATATTGCTTCATCCTTAGTCGTATCGTAGACTTTCTTGACCCAATAAGGAATTTACTGATAAATGACATTCTAGGACAAGCATATCCTAGGCTACAAATGAAGGAGAATGGTGAAGACTAGCTGCCTCTAAGGTATCTGGGACATAAGTCAGAAAGTTCAAACCTGAGATTTAAACTCAAATTAGCCCAAAGGGGGTTGGTAAAAGGTGACATGTGAAGCTGTTTAGACGTGTATAAACAAATTTCAATATCCCAATAGTCAACAAATATTAATTAATATAATAATGACAGTTTTGAGGGTATATATAGCTTCTGGGTGGCATAACATAATATATAAAAAATTATGCCATGTAAATTTGCTGAACAATAATTAATACATTGCTAGCCCAAGTAGGATGTGCATACTGGTGTGTTATAAAATATTTTAAGGAACTGAAATATTTTAGCTATCCATATCTCACAACTATACAGATGCAGTTTGATAGAAAAAGTATGTTCTATTAGTCTACTACATGAAGCATTCTGAAGTGCCATTTCATTTATTCTATGGGTGTGCTTATGCTGTACCATGTACACTTGGACATAGAGCATCTCATTCCAAATAACTACTTTCACTTGTTCGGTAGTGACTATGTAAAGGCTAGTTTTATTTTCATCATTAAATAGTGAGAGATTTTACTGTCTAGACAAAGGAGAGAGAAAAGGCATCTTTCTATGGAGCAGGTGAAACCACCGGATTGAAAGGAAAAATGCAAGCAGTTGATTGTCACACAGCCAGAGGAATGGGTTAATACAATAACTCCTATCCCTACTACTGCTATTAAGTAACAGTGAGTGAGAGAATAGGGTAGGGAAAGGAGAAAGGGAGAGGGGAATAAGGAAAGGAAGAGAGGGGAGGAGAAAGAAGAAGAGGATGGGGAGGAGGTGCACATGTGTAATTAAAATATCCATAACACTTTAAGATGGATGCTCTAGTAGGATGTGAAAAAGATATAGTGGGAAGATAAAGAAGAAAGTAGCTTCAGAGAAGAGAATATTTGTTGTATATAATAAACAGTGGGATATTGTAAAAATTGCATATTCTTATTCAGTAGCTCTGTGGGTGGGGGGACGGGGTGTTGACATTCTGTGTTTTTAACTAACAAGCTCCTAGGTAATGCTGATGTTGCTGTTCTTCAGACCAAACTTTAAGTAGCAATTAAAGTAATTAAGTAATTAAGTAATTAAGGGTAGAGAAGACATTGATATTTATTCTAGGCAGAGTGATGAATACCCTCTAGTAGTCATGGAAGAATAAAAGCATTTGGTCTGGCTAGTAGTTCACTGAGCATAAATAGTTCACTGAGCATAAGTAGTTCACTGAACTATCAGATAATGATTTAGAAAAAAAAAGTATTACAAATGACCTCAGGCTAAACATTCTGAACATTATTTTGTGGGCAAAGGGAAGCCTACAAATGCTTCTGTTCCTAAGTGTGCCACTGTAGGCTTGTTGGTAAGGAAACCATAAACATGTTATAGTTTAAAGGGCAAGATGGAATTAGAGAAAGAGGAAGAGGAAGAACTGTTAGCAGACTTCAGCCATTGCCAGAGTGAGGAAAGCACCAGGTTGAACTTTGGAGATGGAAAAGAAAATTCCAGATTTGGCACCTACTTCTGAGTCATCAACAGAACATAGTCAATTATTAGATGGAAATAGTTGGGATAAAAAAATAAGTAATTGACAAGGAACATTACTTTATATTTTGTGTTGTTTTATTTCGCTTTAGCCAAGAATGCATAGGAAAAAATAGATAATATTAAAAAGGTAAAAATTATGGGATGGTATGAAAGCATATAGAAAGTCTATATGGGTATATTGAATAGACAAAGTTTTAGAATGTAAATCGCGGAGTGGGCCATGGATATTGAAAATTAGAAGGTGACAGGGATTACACAGGGATTGAATATATATTGCAAGCCAGTGATTTTTTTTCATAGAGTATTTCTTTTAATTAGAAAGCCACTGGTAACCTTAGCAAGAGTTGAATGATAGAAAGAAGAGACAATAGAATGACACAAATTATAGAGTCGATAGAATGACGCAAATTATAGAGAGGTAAATGGATTTGTGTGCCTCATGGGTATATGTGTATGCAAATATGGAAAGTGGCTGTGGGAAGTAAAGCCCCTGGTAGTTGTTCTTTAATTTGGATGATAAAGGTGGCATACTTTTTGTTTCTAGAGGAACCATTCCTGTTTTCTGATTATGAACGCGGGTAGCAGATGTCCTTGGAAAGAATGTCCACTAGATTTGCTCCAAGGCCAAGGGCATCATCCTGTAGATTCTGATAAAATAGTTAGTTAATTATCGTATCCAAGATGAAAGCTGACAACTACAAATCATAAGGCAATTGATGATGGCAGGAAGTTTGTCAACATTCAAATCCCTCGAGTCCCATCCCTCGAAAAAGACATATTCTTCCTACTCCTTAGCAGTGATAGCGTTGTACCAATATCAAATCACAGATTTTTAGAGGGAAATGGGTATAATAAAATTGCCTATACATTTTTATAGTAAATTCTAGAATTTCTTAAAATCTGAGAAATTATTTCAATGACAATTTTTTTCTACAGTATATCTAGGTAATGATCGCTGAGACTCATAGAGTGATGAAAATAAACATTTAGGTGTTGTATATCTCTCATATGTTTTAATAAGTTTTCAGGTGTATTTTATTTTCAGTAGACGACCCTTCGGTGGAGGATTGGGGAACAAATTTTAATTCAAGCCATTTTCTCCCAGGGCACACATGCTAATGTATTACAGAAAGCTGAACCATAATATTCTAAGCACTTCAGTTAGTCTTCACTTTTGAAATTACTCTTTTGAACTGAGTCAAAAAAAAAAAAAGAAAAAGACCCTTTCATTTCATTGAAGTGAAGCAAATCTCTCTGCTTTAATTAAGAGCAATCGGAGGAAATAGTGATAACAGAAGTCCAGCTCCGAGCCGTGTATAAAGAAATGATCGCGGGCTCTGGCTGCCAGCCAGGCTGCCAGGCTGTTTTTCATGGGTGTTACTCGACTGACAGTACCTTCCTGACATTTGTACCTCGACACCAGAAGTGCTAACAGCTGCGATGCCAGTGGTAGAAAAGCAAGGAAGATCTTTTTCAGCTTTAGTTGCTCTCAGATTCTCAGCACCCTAAGAGAATAAAGTCTGTTAAAACTGACTTCAGTTGGCTATGTCCTTTGCGAAGATTTTTGTGTTGGTGTCTGAAAAGCAGTTTTATTCCATGACATTGGGCTTAGGGGAGATTATTTTTTCAAGACAGAAGACACATGTGGTAAATGCGTGACAAATGGCAGTAACAAAGTTGGGCTGGGAGTTCATGGTTTTATGAAATGAAATATTTCAGCAACCAATTCCGTGCTCTGTTACTTGCTGCAGACAGCCCTTTTGACCCTACACTGAGGCAGCCAAAAAGGACTATAGGAGAAAATTTCTAGTTATCTTGAAGTTGGATGGTATTCTTAACTAATAGTGACAGATGTAGCAATATGACTTCTAGTGCTTGCTGCTAATGGCAGAGCTTCAAGCCATCAGGAAATGAGAAAGGTCAGAAGACAAGTGCACATATGTGAGAAACGAGTTCAGACGATAAAGGGTGAGATGTGGTTTTTGGAAAAGCTCATTTTGGGAACCTTTCCAGTCTGTCTTGGTGGTTTCAAGGTGATTCTTGGCACATAAGCGTATCCCTAACATTTTGACATACTCTAGAGAATCAAGGTCCTGAAAAGAATATAACACTGCTTAAATATCAAGGAGCCACGATGCACTGATAACTTGTTTCGTACATTTAATCTTCTTTATGATTTTAGCGTTGCTACTGCTTTGATCTTAAAAATAGGAAAAATGTTTAGCAAAACATAATAAATTTTCTAAAATTTAAAGGATATTTAAGAGCCCTTCTACAATAATTAACTTACTGTAAAAAAAAAGAAAACTTCTATAAATAGTTCAATTGCTAATGCTTTATAGCAGATGAGTTTTTTACAAAAGAGTTTGTATTTTTAATTTTATAACAACTGGGTTGTCTCCACATGCACTTTTCTGTCACCTCCATATTTCAGACAAATCTGGGCAGATTCTGGGTGGTGTGGTCCTAGACTGAAAACTCTGTTTCAAAATCCAAGTATAAAACTTTGTCTTTAATGACATTTCAAACGTTTCATATACACAATGAAAAGATTTTTAAACAGCATAAAAACCCATAAATGTAAGAGAAATATCTTCTTACATGTACATTATAAGTATTCTTATTGAGAGAAATAAGTGTTCTATTGATAACTTTAAGTAAATAAAGCCAAAAGGACAGAAGAAAGTCTATAATTAAGCACAATTCAATCATTGTGGCCATTTAATTCTGTTGTTTTCATGTATAATCTGAAGTCCAGAGAAGTTAAGGAAAGCATGTGATTTTATGCAGCTAATTAATGATTAGAATTCAGTATGCCAACTCCCAATCCTGGGGTTCTTTCTAGAACAACATCCCTGGACATGCTCAGAAAGCAAAAATGTCAGAATATTTTTCTTTCAGCACTAATGCTATGATTCATGTCAAAACAAAAACTTCAGCTGAAGAAATAAAGATAAATTGATTTAATGTGATGGCATCACATCATAGTAATTTCAAAAACTTTTGAGAATTATTTTTTTTTTTTGTAATTAACTCTCCAATCGGCAATGGCAGAGAGGAGCATCATCCAAAACATCTACAGGGAAGTCTGCATATTTTTTTCATTTCATTGCTAATGAGCCATTTTCACCTGGCTCCTGCTCCCACTACTCCCCCATGAAGAACCAGCTGTCAGTTTCCACAGCTGAGCAGGTTTGGTACCAGACAGGTGGCAGCAGGGTGGGGAAGAAATTGTGTCAGTGGGATGTAGTTAATCTGGAATTATGGTGATCCACCTGGTATCATTAAACATTGACTCCATATCATGAATGGTTCACTACAAGACAATCAACACTTAAATTAAAAGTTAAAGTTTTAAATATCCTTGAAAAGACAAATATGAAGGTTTGGTATTAATTGAAAATCTGCAGTCTTATACACATTAGATCAACTAAGTCCATTTAGAGATGACAGAATTTTATATTCTGTTTATAGAAAAGGTGAATTGGACTGTGCTATTCCAGATTCTAACATTCACTCACTCTGTAAGCTTTTTATGCTATAGGCTCTGTGGGGGAAAAAGCAAAACAAAACAAAAAACTATCTTGACATCAGTAGCACTGGGTTGAAGCTTAAATGGGTTAATATATTCGGAAGGATTTTGTAAACTGATACTTAATATGTGTGTAAGTATGGAGTCTACTGTTATCATTGGTATTTACTTCATGATTATTTTTAACTCTCACAATAACCTAGAAAACGTCCTTAATGTGTCAAATGATATGGCCAACCACATGACTCAACTGATCTCCCTGGTCACAATGATAGTCGCCCATTGGTGTTTGATTCAGTTCGTATTTTTCTTCAGGTGGAAGTCACCTCCCCATAAAAGCCTTCTCTGAATGCTCAGTAATGGGCTGGATGCCCTTCCTGTGATTCTATAGCACCCGAGCTGACCCCTATTAGAGAACTTATCACACAGCATTGGAATTGGCTATTCACCAGTTTCATTCTCCCACTGGACCATAATGTTTATGCTCAGAGACCTTATGTTGTTCACTTTTTGAATTTCCAGTAACTGGTGTTGTGTATATCACATAATGGAGACTCAATAAAAATTATATACATTATTGACATCAATTAGTTTCATGTATACAAAGTACAAAGCACAGTATGTAAATTTTTTAAATTTATATAAATTTAAAAACCATATCTAGACATTTATTTGATTTGCAATTTGAACCACCATTCTGGCTTCATCATGAAGAAAACTTTGAAGTAGGCCGACAGTGAAATGCAGGGAGACCAATTCAATGGTGAATGCAGAAAAGATGCTCATTCAAACAAGAGTGGGAGTGGAAATGGAGAAGAAACAGACCTGAGATATATACAGAGGTCAAATAAACATGATTTGATAAATAAATTCATGGGTGAGGAAGAATGAGATGTCAGAAATGGCTTTAGCATGCCTGTAATCCCAGCATTATGGGAGGCAGAGGCTGGTGGATCACTTGACGTCAGGAGTTCGAGACCAGCCTGGCCAACATAGTGAAACACCGTCTCTACTGAAAATACAAAAATTAGCCAGCCATGGTGGCAGGCACCTGTAGTCCCAGCTACCCATGGTGGGGCTGAGGTGGGAGAATCGCTTGAACCCAGAGGCAGAGTTTGCAGTGAGCTGAGATTACACCACTGCACTCTAGCCTGGGCAACAGAGCAAGACTCCTTCTCAAATAAACAAATAAATAAATGGCTTTAGGATATATGGTTTATACAGCTAGGAAGATGATGAAAGTATTGACTGGGATTGAGAACAGTGGAAGACGAGATGATTATTGTTACCATTGCTGTTGGAAGGGACAATGAAAGGAAGCAGGCATAGTTCCTAGTGTCAGTTTTACACATGTAATTTTGTTGTGACTTTGAGGAATCCAAGGGAAAAAAGAGACATAAATTTGGAAGTTTTTTGTGTATAGGTGGCATATTGAAGCCATGGATTGCCTAGGAAGTGTTTAGGAATTAAAGAAAGCCAGAATCAAACACGGAGGAATTCAACACTTAAGAACCTTCTAAGGCACAGAAAAAGAAAAGTGAAATATTGAGAATGAAAGGTATATAACAATGGGAAAGGAAAAAGTATGATGTATAAAAAGGAGGGGAGTAAGTACAGATATCTTTTTTTATTCAATATAGTTGTACTGTTTAAGAATAAAATAGGGCAAATGTTGAAGGGTGATGTAAGGTTAAGACAGTGTGATGGCTAATTTTATGTGTCAACTTGCCTGGGCCATGGGCTCCCCAGACATTGGGTCAAACATTATTTTGGGTGTGTCTGTGAGTGTTTCTTGATGAGGTGAAAATTTCAGTCAGTTAACCGTGTAAAGTAGATGGCTCTCCCTAGTGAGAGTGGGCCCCATCCAATCAGTTCAAGTCCTGAATAGAACAGAAGGGTGACCCACCTGTGAGTAAGAGGGAATGTCTTCTGCCTGCCAGCTTTTGATCTGAGACATTGCTTGTTTTTTTGTTTTTCTTTTCTTCCTTCAGACTTTGAAACGTCAGCTTTTGCTGTGTTTTGATGCTGCCAGCCTTTGGACTGGAAGTACGTTTTTGGCTCTCCTAAACCTTCAGCTTGCCAATTGCACATCTTGGGACTTGTCAGCTCCCATAATCACATAAACTAATTCCAATTGCATACACACACACACACACACACACGTGTGCACATACAACACACAGACAGACATACACACACATACATCCTACTGGTTCTGTTTCTCTGGAGAACACTGACTAATACAGAAAGGAGATTTTATATTATATACATATATTTATATACATTATATATATATAACATATATATATTCAGATAGAGAGGACTTAAATGTATTCAATACTGTTTTTAACATTTTAATGTATTTAAATACTGTTAAAAATAATCCCATTCATTAGGCTTCTGGGTAATGTGGTATGTAATTAAACCAGTGTATCCTGTGATCATATGTCCACTGATGTACCTCCTTTGATAATAAGTATGGCCATCAGTTCTATGTAATGTTATCCAAGTTCTGTGTCAGTGGATCAAAGACTTGGTTACTTCTTGGAGAGTGCTGCTAGCTGAAGAGATGTGGGCAAGAAAGGGAAACCCACACCTAAGATATGCTTTGATTCTACTCAAAAGCTATTCCTTCCACCTTGATTGATTGATTGAGTAGAATCAATAATATCATATTGGTGAAGGGTAGTGGGTGATCTCAGTGTAGCGCTCAGTTGCTGGAAGGTTGAGATTTCTACAGAGGTAGTAGGTAGATCAGCTTTTGTTGAACGAGGATTCATGTTTTGGGCACCATGCATAACCTCCATCTCTGCCAGCGTGGCCACATTGTTAATGTGTCAGTGTGCTTATACTACAATGTGCTCATACTACAATGGCTGATGAAAGAGACTGGTTTTAGTTTGCCAAGCCATTCTGTGCACTGGTTTGTTTAGTGCCTCTTGCTTACCAAATTGTAGAGTGTCCATAAACTTGTATGTCTATTCCCCAGATCTCCTTGTCCCCAGTTGTATTAGTTTTCTAGGGCTTCCATAAAACAGAATACCGCAGACTGGTTGGCTTAAATGACAGAAAATTTTCTCATAATTCTGGAGGCTAGAAGTTCAATATGAAGGTTGCGCCAGACTTGGTCTCTTGTGAGGCCTTTCCCCCAGCTTGCAGTCGGCGGCCTTACTCCTGTCTTCACTTGATCACCACACTGCTTGCACATGTTTCTGGTGTCTACTTGTGTACCCAAATTTCGTCTTCTTATAAGAGCACCAATGATGTATCACTTAGTGTTGGGCAATACATTTAATAAGGTAATTTGTAGCAAGTTTCAGAAGTAGAAAGAACACAAAAAATTATCAGGAAAACTTTTTTAAAAATCTCATATCTAAACCAGGATTTTAACATGAATAGAAGCTCTTCAGGTGGACAGGGGTGGCAAGCGGTCATTTGAAGCATAGGGAACAGTGCTGAATACTGTCTTGAAGTTACTATGTTGTTGATAAAAATTAATTATCAATTTAAGGTTTAATTACAAGGTTTTATTTCATGTTAAGTTTAAATATTTGTTTTTCTGGTCAATAACACATTAAGAATAGAAAATTACAGGCAGAGTCTATTCAAGACAGCCACTCTAGGATAAGGGACAAATTTTTGTATCCCAGCCTAATAAAAGAGAGAAATGAGATAAACTCTAAAAAGAAGATACAGATACTGATGATGATTTGAAATAGAGGGAGTTATGATTGTAAAAAAGAAAATAAGAATATCAGGTGATTACATGGCTTTTACAATTTTAGGCTATTTTTCCATCTGTAAAGTAAAATTCATGTTAGATTAAAAAATCACAGCAAAACTATACAAGATAAATGTATGTTGACCTATGGTGTGTGAAGCAAGGTTGTGAAATAATAAGACAACTTACCTTCTTTTTCAGTAAGTCGCCTACGATTATTTATTTAGATTTGGTCTAGCTTTCAAAGAAATGGAGAGAAAAATATAGGTTGGCAAAGGTCATTCTTTTTCATAAAGTGTAACTTGAGGAATAACAACTAACATATGTAAAACTTTCAGTTTAGGAATAATTTTCTCATCTATTATTTCTTAAGATTTTTATTATAATTCCTTGAGCAGACATAGGATCTGACATCATTACCCCCAGAAATGCTAAATAAGTGTTTAAGATCTAAGCATAAGTATATGGTAGAAACTTAAAGAAGTCTGACTCTGACTGCAAATGAAGTAGTCTCGTCATCACAACATACTGTCTTAAAGACAAGCATGAGTTTATTCCAGAGACAAAATGGAAAAGTTTTGCTTCTAAGAAGCAAACTTGAAACTTGAGGAAGGAATTGGAAAATGACAACCATCACCACAACAATACAGTTCATTATAATTTTTTTCTTTTGCTATGTTAGTTCATAATGAAATGTGAAAATAATTAGTGATACTTCTTATTTGCTCAATATGTGCTAGACATGTTGGTAAGCTTTTTATGTGTATTATCTCATTTAATGTTCTCAGTATTTCCATATAGTAGGGAAAAATGATGCACTGTATAATTGCTAAGAAGTAATGGCAGTAAAAAGAACACAAAATTCTGACTTCCAAAAACATTCATCTTAATGACAATCCAAGATGAAAAAAACATAACTTGTCAAATCCTAAAATGAAGATGTGCTGTTTGCTTAAGTAACTATCATTCCGCCTAAGTTTGTAAACCTCAACAAAATTCCTGCCTTTTTTAGTTTTTAATTTTGTGCAAGAAGGCATAAAGCAGAAATGTAAAATTGTTACAATATTAAGAAAAGAATGAAGGGAGAAGAAAAAAGGAAGAGGGACAAAAGCGAGGAAAAGAGGGAAGGAGGAAGAAACAGAGGAAGAGACAGAGGGAGGAAGCAAGGAAGACAAAAAGGAATCTATAGTTCCTTCTGTTCACAATTTGTATACTACAATAATATCTATAATTTAGACTTGATATCAGAAATGCAAGCTGAGATTAAAGGAAATCTTAGGTCGACATATTTAAAATTGCTGATATTTCACTACTTTTGTTTAACAAAAATGTCAATTTCCTGAAGTTCCAAATAATATAAATAGAAGTCATAAAGGTCAATACCCTTTGGTAGTGACAACTACAAGCAACTGAAATACTTTTTATCAATCTGATCATGAAATATGTACCTTAGGTTTCCCTGGACTCTTGGTAGTATTTTAACATGGAATCTTACTTGATGGCCTTCAATCACTCTGAGGTTATCAATCTCAAGTTCTAAAACTTATATTCCTTACCTTGATTATGTCAATAAGCATAAATGCTCTATAAACATTCTGGAAATATTATTAAAGAGAAAAACAGTAAAATATTTGTCCTCACTAAATTTTTAGTTTGATATGAGGATGGCAAGTTCATGAAGATAGTGTAAAATTGCTGAAAACAATAAGAAATATGTTATTAGATTCTTATTTGAAATATATGTATGGGTAGCTACGCTAGGTTTTCAATCCTAATACATCAATAATCTACCAAAGATTAAATTTAATGGAAATATGAATTTCAGTGTATAGAGAATTTCATTAAACAATGAACTTCATTAGAAATAAAGAGAATAGAGGTGGCCCCATTCATGCCTATCCTTAATGGAGCTCCTAACACAACTCACGGTTACTGCAAGCTCCACCTCCCGGGTTCACACCATTCTCCTGCCTCAGCCTCCCAAGTAGCTGGGACTACAGGCGCCCTCCACCACGCCCAGCTACTTTTTTGTATTTTTAGTAGAGACGGGGTTTCACCGTGTTAGCCAGGATGGTCTCGATCTCCTGACCTCGTGATCCGCCTGCCTCGGCCTCCCAAAGTGCCTGGATTACAGGTGTGAGCCACTGCACCCAGCTGTAAATTCTTAAATAAAATAAATAATAAATTTAACATTGCATATGCTAGGAATAGCATAGAATTTTCATATTATTGTCTTATAAATATTAAGAAAAGCTTGGAATGGTGGTATAAGTTAGTGTGTTAAATATTCTAAGCTATTGTAGCCCATGTAAGCTTAGAGTGACATTATGTTATATTATTAAATATAAATTATAAAGGAAAAATACATCTGAAAAAGCAACTACATAAATATACCTAATTAGAAGCTGTATGTGTTTATATGGGTAAAAAGCATAGTGATTGTATGTATAACTAAATAGAACATTGATCTAAAATATTTAATAAGATGCATGGGTTTTGGTCAAGCAAAGTTGAAAAAAAGGATGATTTTTATCACAATAGTATATATTATTTCTTAACAGGTGTCTTTAAAGGATTGCCATTTAATGCCATTCAAGATCTACTAAGCATCATTTTTGCATGACTACTGCAAAAGGATTACTTTACAGATACCAGTTCCTTTGTCAAGAGCATACTTTGGACCCTGTTTTCAGAAAGCAGGTATGGTTCATCTTTATTAAACTGCCTATAAAATTGAAAGACATGTTGAAAAAAAATATAAGATTCATGCATATCCTTAATGGAGCTCCTAATACAACTGCTGAATATGCTAAAGCTTAATATGTTATTTTCTCAAATTAAGTGATTTGTCTTTGAATTGAAAACACCTTGATTGTGTCAGTAACATAAATGCTCTATAAATATTCTGCAAATATTATTAAAAGTGAAACACAGTAAAATATTTGTTCTTACTAATTTTTTAGTTTGATATGAGGATGGCAAGTAACTGAATGTGGTATAAAATGGCTGAAAACAGTAAGAAAAACAGTACTCAGATATAGCCTCCTGTTCCATGATATCTTTCTCAACCGACATATAATGTGCTAGTGGATGGCTTTTGTGCTTTTTGTATGTGCTCGAATTTTAAGACAATGCTTAAAGTTAAATAAGCAGGAAGTCATGGGTGGAGAGAGGTAGTGTCATCCCCACCAGGGAACGGGGATCTTCTGAAGGCAGACGACTTTTATGCAGTTTGCACAACAGCTCCGCATTCTTACATATTTACGTAACCAACAGAAATTACTAAAGAGTGATTCACTTATTTTGAGTGAAACTGGGCATTGTGTAATAATAATCCTTTAAAATGAATACTCTAAAATACTTTGAAATACATCAATGGACATTTATTATTTACGACTAAGTGGCACCAGTAGACGATCTTGAATTAAATCCATTGTGTGCTATTTAACTACAATACTTCTGATGTACTTTTTAGATAATCAACCAAGAAGGTCAATACACTATGAATATAGAATGATTATCTTTATTTTCTGCTTATTTATAAAATGTTGACAATAGTGTACCCAATTTCAAGGCTGTCACTTGTTTATCCTTTAACTTGTTAGGTTAATCCAGGTTAATTGATTCAAAATAGGAGAGGAGTTTCCTCATCCTACTCTATGCTTTCAGTACCTTCAAGCTTGAAAATTAGCATTAAAGAAGAGAAGTTACTAAATGTGGATGTGAGAGCAGTTCTTTTGGAAGATGTAGGAGTCTGAAGTTTTACCACGATATGTGATTTTACTTTCTACTAGCCACACTCAAATTCTAGCAGCTCGTTGCAGAAAATGTTACTTTCCATGTGTCTTTTATTCATTTCATTAAATCATGCCAGTCTGTCATTTTGATTGCAGGCCCTAACTGTACCAGGTATCTCTAAATTAATCTTGTGAAGAAAAGCAACCACATAAAAGAAAAAAATTTAAAGACAAAGTATAAAGAAGGGAAGGGGAAGTATCTAACAGTGAAACCTCAAATCATGGGAAAAAATTGAGTTCCATATAAATTAATCCATTGCTATATTCTAACATTAGACAGATTGTAAGCCAAATTTTGCCATCAAAGTTCTATTTGTTACAATAAGAATGATTTAAGAATAGGTTACATACACAAAATAATAATAATAATCTGTATTCTGTCTATAAACGTAAACATCTTGGAAGCTGTTATTTCCTATATATAAACATTTTGTTCTTAACTCATAATCATGGACGCACCTTAACAAATCAAACTCTATATTTTTTTTTACTTCTGAGATATCTGTGACTACTAGAGATAAATTAAATCTAAGCACCTTAATTGAATTTAGTAATGTTAGAAACAAGTTGTTTATGATGCTTGTGACATTCAAAGAAAGACAACCGAACCACTGAACACAGCACAGCAGCTGTATGTAAGAGGGTTTCAGATCTAATGCTCACTTCCAGATGGATGATGGATAAGCAATTTGAATTTATGCTAGACACATCAGCAGATGGAAATAGAATAGAGTAAATGTCTTGGACACCTGTGAACTGGTGCATTCTATCAATTACCAACCAAATTGTATTAAATTCATGTAATTCAACAGAAGTCTAATTAATTTTTTAGAAGAGGCTCTTTGTCAATCTATTAATAAATTCAGGTTTCAAGTTGAGGATGTAGAGTGTATTTAACTGTACAGAGAACCTGTGGAATCAGGTTTGGCAGAGCAAAGTGCACTCTTATTATGCCATTTTTGTTGTTGCTCCTTCCAACTAATTGAAAAGCATATTGGTAGAATAGGAAGCAATTGAAGCAAATGAGACAAACTGAGCACTCCAAAAAGACATAAGTGAATTAGAATTGATGATTCTGACAAGAGTGGATTCACAGTGTCATTTTAAATAAAACGCCATTTCATTCATATACTTGCACCTAATCTGTCACTGTAACAACTGAAAACATTCAGCGGCAAAACTGACAGTTTCATCTTGACACAACCAACTCAGTTCCTGCCATAATAAGAGGCAATATATATTAAAAGCGGTCCTGAGTTCAGCCTTTGAGAATGAAATGTTTCACTCAATAACTTATACAACTCATCCAGGAGACACTGGCTCAGCTCCAAGTGGAAGAGCTTTATTTCATTAGAGAAGAGTCTGAATGGCTCTAGGTTTATAGATTTTTAGCATTGCCAGGATTCTCATCAATTCATGAAGGGAAACCTCTAAGTATCAATGTATGCATCTCTTAGAGAGTATTACAGTTGATAAGAATAGAGTAGAATGTGCTCTGAATTTCAAAAATAGGAAATCTAATGTTCATCTTTAAAGCTCTTGACAATTACACAGAAATTTGAAGAGAAAAAATTTCTCATATCGTTTGCGACATAAGTATTGTGTAAATTAACAGTGCTACTACTTGCTAAAATGTTTACAGTGTGGCCAGAATTGACAAAATAATGAAGGAAGGTGGACGGAGACAGTTTTGAATGAATACTCGAAAGAATTTCTTAGCAATTAGAGTGTCCACAGCAATCTTTCAAGGGTCATGTGTCCAGATGAATGAAAAGCGTAATTTCTTATCATCAGGAAGGGAGATGGAACAGTTCCACACAAAATTGTTATTCAACAACAAAATCCTGATTAATTTTGAGGTGGTTCTTATAGACATCTGTGTTTTACTACTTGCAAAAATTGGTTATTTATTTTAACTACACATATAGTTTTTTGTGTTTTAGAAAATATTGTTTTCCAGTATTTTATAGGAAAATTTGTTATATGAAGTATAAAAATGCCTAGTAAGGTTGGACATGGTAGTTCACACCTGTAATCCCAGCCCTTTGGAAGGCCGAGATGGGTGGATCACCTGAGGTCGGGAGTTTGAGACCAGCTTGACCAACATGGAGAAACCCCGTCTCTACTAAAAATACAAAATTAGCCAAGCATGATGGTGCATGTGTGTAATCCCAGCTACTCAGGAGGCTGAGGCAGGAGAATTGCTTGAACCCAGGAGGCGGAGGTTGCAGTGAGCCAAGATCACACCATTGCACTCCAGCCTGGGCAACAAGAACAAAACTCCATCTCAAAAAAAAAAAAAAAAAAGAAAAAAAACAGGAAAAAGAAAAAAAAACCTAGTAAGGTGAAACTAAATAGAATGGCTTAAGTAAATACATGTATAAGTTGGTGTGAAACATTGTAATCTGAGGCTGCATGAATTTCTTGGACAGCATTTATCTCTATCTGCCAGTTATGGTGGTGGGACGGGGTGGTTCAAGTTGGATATCGATGGATTATTTTCATTATCAGCCTATCCATAGGAAATATGTTGGTGCATTAATATTTTCCAAGTTGAAGTTCCTAAGGAGATGTAAGAAAACTGAATTTGCCCAAAGCAAGAGGAAGAAAAATAAGGAATATATTTTAGTGTGATAATGTAACAGATCATATAGGCTTTCTAGTACATAAATTTTTGCTAGTGTGACACAAGGCATCCACAGGTTGAAAACATGCAAACACTTTCATTAATATGAATGTATGCAAAATATCTCCTATATGATACTTGCTCAGCAAATGTTAACATTTATTTAATATTTCCGTTGTGGAAATAACTCATGGAAACAGAGGAAATATTTATTTTCTGGAGTAAGTTTTGAGTATAAGAAAATTTCCATCCACCTCTGCTCACAAACAAGAAATGGAACTCTTAGTCTGAAGGCTCAGTCACCTGAACACCTCAAGGCTGTCCTACAACATAAGAAGGGCTCTATCTCTTCATTAGATGGGTCTGAAATTCAGTTCATCTCTCTGCGCTAAGCTTAGTATACAGAGTGAATCCCAGACAGACAAATTCTTAACTAGATACAGACTTCTGCTTAGAAACTGTCACATATGCTGAGTGTATTGAGGCAATTCTAACAAATGGAAAGATTATAGGCTTTGAAATAAGTTAAAACTAGGATTGACTCTGTGCTGTAATATTTGCTGACTGAAGATACTTGGCTGTATCTCAATTTTTATAAACCTCAACTTTCATTTGACTAAAAAAGTGAATACTATCTCATTTTTGTAAGGGTGCAAAAAGTTCACACAAAATCGATCTTATCTATATCTGTACATATACAAGCAGTGACACACACACACACACACACACACACACACACACACACACACAATCCCTTATATTTAAAGCTTGGTATCTGAAAAGTGTTTAGCAGATGGTTATTATTGTCATAGAATAAGTAGCATACATTTTTAACCACCGAGTGGACTGAAACTTACTGAAAGTCTCGTAAGACTTAAAAAAAAAAGGAAAAGAAGTACATCAGGAAAGAAGGGAAGAAAGGAAGAAAGAAGGAAACAAGAAAAGAAAGGAAGGAAGGGAGGGAGGGGAGGGAGGAGGGAGGCAAGGAGGAAGGGAGGAAGGAAAGGGAGAAGGAAGGGAAGGAAGGAGGAAGAAAGGAGGGAGGGAAGGAGAGAGACAGAGTAAGGGGGAAGAGCGGGAAGGAGAGAGGGAAAGGAAGGGAAGAAAATATAGATTTGGCCTTTGGGCATTAATATTTGCATTCTCGGGCTCTTGTGGGATATAAGACTAACAAAGAAAAATGATACATTCCTATCTATCTGTCATAAATGATTAGAAAATGGAATAAAAAGAGATCTCATACATAATGGAAATAATGATTGCGTAGTATTGTGCTGGATTTTGGGTTAGTACACAGCACCCTTTCCTAATTCTTGTGCTCTCCAGAATGTTAGAAGGCCAGGGACTCTGATAACTGTGTTTCTCAAAACACCTGTTAGCAGGATTCATGATGAGGTGCCACTCAATGGGAGATGTACAAGAGATAGGGAAAATGTAAGAGAAGCAGCCACAGTGGCCTCAGATGCATTTTTTAGTATCATATGCCTCAGTGCTGGAAGCTGTGCTAATTGCTGGTAGTTATCTAGAGTTCTGCAATGACCCACTCTTTGAAAACTCTCAGTCATTTTAAGATTTAGCAGTGGTCTTTCCTGTCATTTGTTTCTTCAGCTTTTCTAACAGTTTAAAACAAGTTGATATCTAAATTTCTTTTTAATTAAAATACCTAAAAATTTATTTTTATTTTTCTGACCTAAACTTGATAAAGGAGATGCCTAAAAATAAACATACACACACACATGTGCACACACACACATTCAGACACACACACACATACACACACAAACACAAATATATATATGCAAAAGCCTACTGAGATGCATAAAAATGGAGAGATATATTGTGTTTGTAGACAGGAAGACTCGATTTTCAAGAGTGTTAAGCTTCCCTCAATTGGTTTTATTTTGGTTTAACTTCAAAAAGTTAATTTAGCAAAATTAAGACAGTGTGTTTTGGGGACAGGGTAGAGCCTTGCAGTAACCTTTGGAAGATACTAGAAAGCTCAGAGAACATTTTCTGCCTCTATGAAAACTTGATATACAAGTGATGTGATACCGAAGACCAGTGGAGAAAGAATGGACTATGCTATAAATTGTGCTAGTAAAATATATTACTCATCAAAAATTAAAATAAGATCTCTCAGAATGCCATACAATAAATAAATTAAAATAACTATAGATAGATGTAGGACTTAAAAGGCAGAACTTTAAATTTTAGAAAGAAGAAATTGGTAATAATTTAATTACCTCAACATGCAGAAAGATATTTTAGACCCACAAAAAGCAGTTAACAAAATGACAGAGGTGACTATAGTGGAAAATAAATGAAAAAGAAAACACAATTGTGACAAAACACCTTGGTGCCTAGACTTTTAATAACTTTCTTTTACCTGTAAAATAATAATAAAAGAAAATATTTAGCAATCATTACTTTTACATATCTGCAGTAGATCAACTTTCCAAGTTTGCAGTTTAACATTTTAGTAAATTGCAATGTTGTATTTAATTTTTTAACTCTTCCTATCTCTGCACATTCAGTGTCTGACTTTCTAGCTCTTCTCAGCAAAGGAATAAAATATACCTACTTGATTCTTGACTTTGGGTTTAGCCATGTGACCTGCTTTGAACAATTGAATTAACAAAAGGAATAGTATACCAGCTGTGAGGTCAGGCCTTAAGACACAATGCATATTTCCATGAGCCATGTTGCTCTTTTTTCACCATCAAGAGAATAATGAATAAAAAGAGAGACGTGGAATAGAGTCATCCCAGATGAAACATCCCAGCCAAACCCAGCCACAATCAGCTGACCTTCAGCCACTCAAGATGAGTTAATGATAATAAATTACTGTTGTTTTAAAACATAAAGTTTTGGGGTGATTTGTTATATAGCAATAGCTAACTGATAGAACTATTATTCACAAAATAATTTATATTCCACTAATTTTTGACAACTCATTATCCCCAAATATGCATTTTACTTTCCTTCACTAATTTCTCTGTTTATATTTTAACCCTATCTGGCATGCCCTATGCTCCAAATTATTCCACTTTTCATGTTAAAATTAAGATCAAATCCTACTATTTCCACAATGTCTCAGTCTCATCTTATATGAAATAAAAGAAACATGCTGCATAATAACTGATAGTATCAATATTTGTTCTTCTGCTTTTATTTTCTATACAATAATTTTAAAGCTTGGTATTGTATCTTATACCAATCTGTGCCCCGATAATGTCTTCCACATAGTGCATTTTAAACTAATATTTGAAGAATAAATTACATAAGTAACAGTTGATATGGCTGATAGTCACGGTTACAAAGACAGTTTTTTTTATCATATACATACGCCTGTTTTATTTACAAATTATTTCTCCAGATTGAAGTTTTTCTCTTACTCTATTATGGTGTACAACAATTAAGGGAAAGAGAGAGTTAAAATGTAAATAAGGAGAATTGGCAACCACGCCTCTACAAATGTTAGGTCATCTTCAAGTGATGATCTATTATCATCAGTGACAAGATGTCAAAATTAGGAAGCAGAAAACCCCTGCAGCTAATGTATGGTAAATTAACTAATTAGTCTATTAGTATCCAAGATCACACTGTAAATGGTTTCCAAGTGTCAGTATTTACCTTACTAAATTTTAAGAGGCGATAGCCAGAGGTTCAAATATTGGAATGTTATTTCATGAATGATATAATTCACTTAGCGCAACCGTATTTCTTTTTCCTTTGTAAATAAAGTTAAAATATCCATACTTTCATGCATCGTAATTTAGAAGCCGCTACCTATATATGCTTTTTAGTGATAATTTCATGTGTGAAAAAGCATAATAAATTGTCCAAAAAACTTCCCGGGTAGCTTTTAAATTGCACATTGTGGCACAAGATCAGTGTTTAGTCAAATCTATTCTATTACCATGATTGCAAATGTCATTTGTAAAAAGTTTTATGCTTTTATTTTAATGCTACATTTGGCAAGCTGGTATGTTTACTATTCAAACAATTTTTTCTTACCTAATTTTCTTCTGATATGTTGAAAATGGGAAAAAAAGAAACACATTTTTGGATCACCTGTGATTTAGGTGACTTTTGGGGCTACACTTACACATACAATAAAACAGATAGGTTTCAGGGAAATTAGCTTAAAAATTGTAGTTGCTTATACTTATAAATTCTCATGCATTCTTTTTGCTTTATAGAATGGGGAAAATCTGCAAGACTTAGCATGACCACCACTTCATAGACTTAATCTACAAACAATATCCATATTTTATTGAATATTTCCTACTATCGCTATGCTTCCCAAATAGATTGATTACTTAAAATAATAAAACATTTTATAATTACTTTCTGAAAATAACTTTTAATAATGTATTAATAATGTATTTGATACTAAGCTAGCATGTGGAATAGAAAATATATTTCAAATCTCTGAGATTTTATTTGGGGTTAAAAGGAAGGTGAAAATTTTCTGTTGTGTCTATATGTCACTATAGGAAATCATATTCTAAGATTTCAATGATGCATGGCAGTGGAAATAACAGAGATGAATACAATAGACTTTCCCATAGACTGAGTTTTCCAGGTCATTTAACTCTCTCTAGTGTCTTCAAAACTCTCCAACAGAGTTAATGATAACGGATTGTCATATTATTGTCCTCATGGTGACCTGCTTGGGTAGAAGATAAAAAATGCTATACTCTCAAAGCTATGGGTAAAAATATAGTGATTATCAACTCATCAACTTTCTCTCTCTCTCTCTCACACACACACACACACACACACACAGTGCATTGTATCCTTTTATTAAAAATATAAATTATCAAGAATGAAATCAAGAGCTGAAAATTAAACAAAAACCAAAACTAAAAAGGCCAGCACATACACGCCTTGAGTGATAAAAATCCTGTCCTTTGCTCTTAAAACATCTCAGACTCTCACTCACAAATACACAGGCATCTTTGAAAGCAATTCAAACAAATTTTATTGTCTGGCTTCACAATTCATGACAGGGTAAAAATAGAATGTGAGAAGATAGATGGGCCTCTAGAAATACACACAGGACTATTCAATGAATTGAGAATTGACAGCCCCATAGTAGCAGCTAAGGAAACTGTAAGCATATTAAATAATTCTACTTGCAAAGAAACTTTGAAATAGTTCATAAAGTAGCCAACAGGTGGGAGGATGTGGTGATGGATGTGATACTTATCTTAATTTGATCATTATACAATACACAGGTGTATTGAAATAATAGTTACCCATAAATACGTATAATTATGATGTGTCATTTTAAAACAAAATAAAACTTTACATACACACACAGACACACATACACACATACAGTATTGGACTGAGCCACTTCCTAAGCAATATTAGTATATTGTTAATTAAGTTTGTACTATCCAATAAAGATAGCTACTAGCCACATGTGGCTATTGAATCCTTGTAATGGGGCTAGTTTGAATTAAGGTGTGTTGTGAAAATAAAGTACAACACAAGTTTCCAAGACACAGTATGAAAAAAATGTAAAATATTTTATTAATAATTATCATTTCATGTAGAAATTATAATATTTTAGATATATTGGGTTAACAAAATATATTTTTTAAAATAATTCTTTTTTCTTAATTGTTACTATTATTTTCTTTTTAATAAAACATGAAATATAGTTCTAATACACATTGTTTCTGTATTGCCTGATTTGAGTAGGAGTTATTTGACTTTCTGGCCCTCAACCTAACTATCAGCAAAGCCAAATAGACATGCTTGAAACAATAATGGACATTCAGTGTATTCCTCAGCAATACTTCCTCTGGAAGTCGTATTCACTGGCACCAGAGCTGTTTCAACCACTGCTTCTAGGCCAAATTGGAAAACCTATAATAACAGCAATAGCAAATATTCAGCATTTGTTTGTGAAGTGTCAGAAGCTGTTCTATGATTGATTCTCACAGCAACTTACTAGTTCAAGCTTATTAATATCTCTAGGAATTTAAAGCAGTGAGATCAAGAAGTAACTAGTTGAGGGAGTTTCAAACCTCTGCAATCTTGTTCTAAAGTCTCTGTTTTTTAGCCACATCTCTCTTCTGCCATACAGAAGTCTTCAATCTTTTAATCCTGCTTATGAAAACATAAGTTCTCTGGAGTCATGTTACCTATATGGTGCCCATGCTAAAAATTCTAGACATTTTTTATAATAAAATTGCCAGACTGTTTTTGGAAGTTGCTTTAGTCTGGATTTCCTTTAGGCATACAATGAAAATAGTTTAACAGGAGGTGACCTGAGGAAGCAAGCAGAAGTGAGAGGGTAGGGAAAACAAGACCGAGAATGGAGAAAAGTCGAGAAAGGACATAATAATGAGCAGGTCCACACATGCAAGTATATGGAGCTTCATCTTGCTCCAGCTTCTTGTATATCTTCCCTCTGAGGTTTCATACAAAACATACCTCAGAATTCTCACAATGATAGATGGAAAGCTGGGGTAAATATGTCCCTAATTAGGCTCATGGGTGAGGGTTGACTTTAGGGCTGTTAACACTCAGATTCCTTTCAAGCTGCCCTGTACTTGGTTGAACAAGCCTCCGTGGTGCTAGAGAAAATCTTGAGGCAGAGAAGCAGGATGAGACTCGGACCCTCGAGATGAGACAATGAGTACAGGAACAGTCCTCTATGCCTGCAGGTGGACTGATTCACCATTGTGGACTGGGGCATTAACAGCATCTGCTACTGAAGTGTAATTAAAATATAGTCAGATTCCCTGGAAACACAGAGAATCCTACAAGATTCTGTTTGAGCCTTCTTCAGCCTAACCTTATTCTTGGATAAAAAAAAAAACTTTTTGTTTTTAGATTGCTGATTTAGCCTTTAATTTATCGGAGGGGTATGTTTGTACACAGTAGTAAATTCAATAAATGTCAACTACATTATTTTAACTAGTCCCTCTAACACTAGGAAAGTTCAGTCAAAAATATCAATCAAATTAGCTATTAGGTATGAAATTGTCAAATTGGTTAAGAGAATGTTTCACTTTTTTGTGTGATGAGCTTATAGCTTGGATAAACAACCTAAGGGTATAATTTGTGCACTCTGAGTTGCTTGAATGGCATGGCCTCAAACGGGTATGCCACGCAGGAAATAATCTGTTGTGGAATTCCTTAAATAACATTTATTTTACTATTTGTCTTATATTTCTAATACTATTACTGTGAAATAGTAATTCTGTGTAATTCACAGTAATAGTATTACTGTAAAATAGAAATATTATTGTGAAATAAAAGTGACTTTTTTTCTATTTATTCCACAATTTTCTTAATGTCTTATAAACTAGACAAGAATAAGAAATAGGCCTGGTGCAGTGGCTCATGCCTATAATCCTAGCATTTTGGGAGGCTGAGGTGGTCAGATTACCTGAGGTCAGGAGTTTCAGACCAGCCTGGTCATCATGGTGAGACTCCGTCTCTACTAAAAGTACGACAATTAGCTGGGCATGGTGCTGGGTGCCTGTAATCCCAGCTGAGGCAGGAGAATCGCTTGAACCCAGGAGGCAGAGGTTGCAGTGAGCCTAGACCACGCCATTGCACTCCAGCCTGGGTGACAGAGTGAGACTCTGTCTCAAAAAAAAAGAAAAAAAAAGAATAAGAGCTAAAATGTTTACTAAACAGTAGATATAGAAAGAAGATCACTATGACAGCATGACAATTCACAATAGTAAAAGGGAAACATGCTTGGTGTACAGATTTTTTTTTACAAATGACCATGTTCTAAAGAAATTTAACAAGAATTTTGAAGTCACATAAGGACACATACAGAGTATTTCTTCATGCCTTTTGAAGCTAGAAGGGGAATCAGTGTATTTCTTAATAATTTTTCTCTATATCTTGTCAGAGAAGGGACAGTCCGTTCAATTTTTTCCTAATATTAAGGTGTATGTGAAATGAAGATAAGCATAATCTTAGAAGAGACTTTTGAAAAACATGTTGTAGCTGTGGAATTTAAGTTAATTTATAAATATTACAGTTAAATAGTGCAGAGACCAGCTCGGTCGGGGAGACCCTAACCCAGCAGCGCTAGAGGAATTAAAGACACACACACAGAAAGATAGAGGTGTGAAGTGGAAATCAGGGATCTCACAGCCTTCAGAGCTGAGAGCCCGGAACAGACATTTACCCACGTATTTATTAACAGCAAACCAGTCATTAGCATTGTTTCTATAGATACTAAATTAACTAAAAGTATCCCTTAAGGGAAACGAAGGGATAGGCCGAATTAATTGCAGCAGGAACACGCCCTTAAGACACAGATTGCTCATACGTTTGTTTGCGGCTTAAGAATGACTTTAGGTGGTTTTCTGCCCTGGACGGACCAGGTGTTCCTTGCCCTCATTCCCGTAAACCCACAACCTTCCAGCTTGGGTGTTATGGCGATTATGGACATGTTACATTGCTGCAGAGATTTTATTTATGGCCAGTCTTGGGGCCAGTTTATGGCTGGATTTTGGGGGGCTTGCTCCCAACAAAATAGTAAGTTACATATTTTTCCGGGACTATCTATTATTTTCCACTTGAGGCTATTCAAAGAAAAAAATGTATAAGAAGTCTTTTTTTGGAATATTGAAAGTATAATGTCAGTAGTTATTTCTATGTTCTATAAAAGTTTAAAAAAATCAAAGCAGAATAAATCTGTACTAAATGTTGTTTTCTTTACTATTGAAATGACTACTATCACATTAAAATTGGAAAAATTATTCAACTATAGGATATTTCAGAGTATTATATGCCATATTACATGCTTTAGTTTAAATTCATAAACTTATTTGTAAAAATTAAATTGCTGTAAAATAGAAAATTAATTTTTCTATATATGTCTTTTGGAAGTGGTTCCTTCCATTTACATTAGCATTATAAGTAGGTGTTAATTTTATACTGTTATGAACACAAAGCATCTTTAAATATGCAACACAATGAAATATCTGCTATTTCATTCAATAATATCTACTCATTTAAAAATGTTTGACTTACTTATCTTTCCACCCAGCCTGGTCAAACAGCTCTATACTTGAGTCTCATTCTTTTTCTTTCATAAAACTGCTTTTATTGAATTGCATTTTGGTCTTTGCTATTTATTTTTATTGAGGGGCATAATAAGATTCAGTAATACTCAAATCACAAGAATGAGTAGGGCATGGTGTCCACCATGTCTGACAGGGTTCCATTAGGGGGTTGGAACAGAATGAGGGGTGGAGAATGTCTCTTTTTTCTTACGGCAGAGAACAGTTGTTCGTTTTGGGGATAACTTTTTTTGTTGCTGTTTAATTTTATTTTGTTGCTATTTTTAACATTCAGTGAGAACCAGGGTGTGTATTTATTTTAATCTCCCTGATTCTGTAAAATAATGTCATTTATAGTATTTCATTCTGCTTTGGCTGATGTGAGGCTTAAAATCAAATTAAAGCCAAAATGGGAGCCAAGAAACTGTACTAGGTTTTATGATGTCTTCCATTTTCTTTTCTTATTGGTATTTTCTCTATTTGTATATGCTCATTTATTTTATTTGCTTATTTTGTTTATATTTATGTAAATTGTGTCAACTTTAGTTATAAAATGTGTTAAATAAATAATCTAGGAAAATCATTATAACATCTTTTTTCTAATTTTCTAAGAGTTTTGTTGGTGCTTAATCAATTTTATGTATTTTGTTCATTCACAGATATATATATATATATATATATATATATCTGTGATATATATGTGTGTGTTTGTGTGTGTGTGTATATATATATATAGTGTCCATTATGAGTGAACTAGAAATATAGCCATGAATCATTTTATTAGTCCTTATCCCTATAGATAAATGCTGAGGGGATGGATACCCCATCTCTATGATGTGCCTATTTCACATTGCATGCCTATATTACAACATCTTATGTACTCCATAAATGTATACACCTACTATGTACCTACAAAAATTAAAAATGAAAACATTAAAATAAAAAAACTTTATCCTTTTGAAATTCACTTTCTAGTATGAAAATAAAGGTATTAAATTAATGAATAAATTAAAATGCAAAATATTTTTAAGTGATGAATGTCTTGGCAGAAATAAATCTCAGTTAAAGGGATAGAGAATGTTATGGTTGGGTGGTTTTTTGCTTTCGTTTTTCTGGGAGATTCTGGAAGACCTTTTTGCTAAGCCAATGTTTGCTCTGAGGCATAAAGAATGTAAGGGTGCCAGTCATGTGGATTTTTTGGTGACAGAAGGGACATCAGGTGAAAATGTCCTGAAGTGGCCAGGCTCAGTGGCTCACACCTGTAATCCCAGCACTTTGGGAGGCCGAGACGGGTGGATCACGAAGTCAGGAGATCGAGACCATCCTGGCTAACACAGTGAAACCCCGTCTCTACTAAAAAAATACAAAAAAATTAGCCGGGTGTGGTGGCAGGCGCCTGTAGTCCCATCTACTAGAGAGGCTGAGGTAGGAGAATGGCGTGAACCCAGGAGGCGGAGCTTGCAGTGAGCTGAGATTGCGCCACCGCACTCCAGCCTGCGCTACAGAGTGAGACTCCGACTCAAAAAAGAAAAAAAAAAAAAATGCCCTGAAGCAAGAATGTATTTGATTGGACTAGAGAAGAGTGAGTGAGATGGAGAGTGAAAAAAGTGAGATAAGAGAGCTGGTAGGATAAAACCAAAATCATTTTTTAGAAAAAAAAAATACATCAGTGTGAGATATTGTGTGGACTTTGGTTTTCACCCTCCGTAAGGGTATATATAGCAAGCTGGTGGAGAGTTTTGAATTGAGCAATGTCGTGATTTAATTTACATTTTAAGCAATTATTGATGGATTAGATATGACATGTAAGAAAAGGGAAAGCATAAAGGACGATCCCAGTATTTTGTTCCTTAGGAACTAGAGGGTGGGAGTTCCCTAGACAACTAGAAACAAGATTCTTCTTGTTGAGATTGGGCAAGTGTCAGAGAAAGCAGTTTGGGATGGGAAGATTAAGGAGATCATTTCCAGACAGGTGTGGGGTGCGTATTTGATATACTAGCAAAGATGTAAAATAGTTAGCAGGACATATAAATTTGGAGTATAAGGAAGCTGAGTTGTCTGGAGATATAAAATTGAAAGTCTGCACTGGTGTGTCTGGCAATACTCCAAAAGAAGACAGGAAAAGTAAGGATTATAGGGACCAAAACATAGATTACAGAGATGTGGATAATTAGGGGGGAAAAAAAAGCCTGAGAAGGAGCAGCTACAGAAATTGAAAGAACAAGTGAAGAATGGTGATGTAGATTATAAAGACTTAAGGAGGAAATGAAAAGCCATGACAAAAGCTGCTATTGGTTAGATAAGAAGTTAGGAGTGACTTTTTATTTGTTTTGGTGTTACTGTTACTTGCTAAGAGCTTTTGCAATGGCGTAGAAGTTATGGTTGAACTGAAAGCCTGGTCTGAGTGCCTTTGAGATCAAACGGTAGGAGAAAAAGCAAAGAAAGCAAGTACAGATAGATTTTTCTCTAAAGCAACAATTACTAATAGAAACAATCATAAAAATAATTCTATAAAATAATTTAATGAAAGTAATTAATTGCAAAAGCTATGGTATTACAATTACATAAATCTACATTAAACATATTCATGACCACAAAATATAATTCCATTGATTTTCTTAGAAATTATATTTTCAGGCTGCTAACTGTCAATATTTTGGGTAAACTTTTCTGCTTGATTCTGCTGCTTCTCTAATCTCCCCCATTTTGAACTGCCTGGTTAAACAGTAATTCATTAAAGGTCATACTTTGGGTGACCGAAATACTTGATATCTTATAAAGCATTTGCTGGCAAATTTTATTATTATGTTTGCATCTCATACCTTTTGTAAATTAGATAAAAGCCTAACAAGAGATGAAACAAGAATTCAATACCATCTTGTAACTGGAAGAGAGGCTTCTCTATGAAAGTATGTTTATTCTAATGAATAATCATAGCAAACTGAAATAATTTAACTTCTAATATCACAATAAATAAAACATTGAATATTTATTTAAAATAGATGTAAATATGTATTACAAACAAAATACAAGTTTCCCTAAATGAAATATTTGGAATTTGTTTTCAGACTAACCACATGTGAATACAAATAGTTTACATATATAATCTCATTTTATATTATTTCAATAATTTCATAGTATGCCTTTTTGAAGCATTAAAACTTAGAGGTAGTCTGCAAGTATGAAATTATATGGAATTTGTCATCAGGAAGCACGAGTTTGAATCCCAATTCTAGTAATTCAAACTGCATGATTTGGAGCAAACCTTCATTTTCTCAGGTTCTTCACCTGTAAAATTGGAATAATCAGAATATTTACCAAACTGGATCACTGTGGAATTCAGTGGAATGTGCTATGGTCAGTAAGTCACATGTCTTGTACTCTTTGTGGAAGGGGAAGTATGTTATCTACAAACAACAAAAAGAGGAAAAGAAAAGAAAAAGGACAAACTTAAAGCTTATATTTAACCTTACAAGAACGTTTTTTACTTGAAGGTCATTAATCAGTCTCTGTTAAGTTATTGAGGAGACAAAATTCCAGTGATAGAAACCTTCATGAACAGGCCTTGAGTCCAGTTTCTTGAATTTGCAATTCAAGAAAAATTAAATGACAAACCACGGCTGAAGAAAAGTACTGTGAGAGAACAAAAATAGTAAAGAAAACACTGATGTAATTAGCATCCAAGGAGGAATCACTACAATAATCCAGATTTGAATTCTAATAATAAAAGTTATGATTTAAACTTGATTCAAGAGCATCTTGGCCTGCTTAATAAAATAATAAGCTATCTAACATATCTAGTAATAAATCAGTGTTTATTTGTCATGCTGATCTTTTCCATATTTAAAAATAGTGTTAGTCTCAGAAAGATATGGAAAAAATAGTCTTAAATATCAGAAGCAAACATTTTACTTGCTATTTGTAAATAAGATTTTACAGACTTTAAAATATTTTAAAATTTACAATCTAGTGTGTGTAATTTGACTCATTGCCACAAACTATTTCTCATAACTTGATTCAGAGACAACTGTGTGAGGAGAGGGATATATATGGGAAACCTGAATCAATGCTACAATGATAAACGCCAAGGCTTTTACCTATAACATAAAACAAAGTAGGACAATCATTTTAAAAATTATTTATTTTTTTATAAAATTTGAAATGGTGTCATTTTATTATTTAAGAAGCAGGCAAACAGGCGTAGTGACTCATGCCCGTAATCCCAACACTTTGGGAGGCCGAGGTTGGTGGATCACTTGAGTCCAGGAGTTCAAAATCAGCCAGGGCAACATGGCGAAACCCCGTTATCTCAAAAAAAAAAAAAAAAAAAAAAAAAAAAAAAGCAGGGCGTGGTGACACGTGCCTGTGATCCCAGCTAAGCAGCTAAGGTGGGCAGGATCCCAGGAGATGGAGGTTGTGGTGATAGTACCACTGCACTCCAGCTTGGGCAACAGAGGGAAAGCTTATCTGAAAAAAGAAAGAAAGAAAGAAAGAAAGCAGATGGATATTAGTGCCCAAATTCAAGTGTTATTATACTGTTTATTTTTAGGACTATAAAAAAATCTTTGGATACAATTAATTAGAACCAGACAAACTTAAGGTGTTGTTCTAGCTGAGATATTAGTAATATTACTGAGTCTGTGTAGAAAATAACTTCAATGATGGTCATTTGTCATCAGATTAAAAAAAACTGAGATATACAAAACAAAAAACAAAACAAAACAAAACAAAAGACAAAATTTTGTAAAGTGGAAAGGGAGCATTAGATTGCTATCATTCAATAGTTGTGAAGCTTGGATCCAGAATAGAGGATGCTGCAGTGTCATTGTGCTCTTTTCTTGTCAGGCCTCATCTGGAAGAGAGGCAATAGCAAGCTGCAGGTGGCTGGAAAGAGAGGAGGGATGACGAATCTTTATCACCTGGGAAATGATGAAAGAAATTGAGGATGTGTACTCTGGAAAGCAGTAGATTTAGACAGACACAATATGTATGTTCTCAGATGTTTAAAAGTACTGTCATGTGGAAGATGGATTAGAATAGGTATGTGTTGCTCCAAAGAATAGCCTGTGGACCAAGACTAGCTGTCAGAAAGGTATTTCAGCTCAGCATGATAAAAAGGTTTCTGACTCTGAATTACATAGTGTTAGTGAGTGCTTCATTATAAGACGTATCCTGTTCTGAAAAAGTAGACTAGGTATGATATCCAAGGTCACTTCTGACACTAAGAAATCTTTGATTTTTGTGAATTAAAGTATATTTTAAATGTCCATTCTCAGTTTTAGTAAAAAGCCCTGTGCATAGTTTTAAGATAATCTGAAAAATTTATATTATTGTGTTATACGTCGATCTCTGTATCTATACCTTCTAATATGTATCTATCTTTTAAATTCTGCTTAAAGCAAGCTGCTTTAAAATTTTTCAAGGAGCATTTTTGAAAAACTTATATTCTTAAAATGAAAAACTCATAATGACCAGTCATTCATTTAAAACATTTGACCACATTTCGACCTACAAAAACAGCAGTTTCATATAAATCAATCAGATACTATGGGTCAAATAATGTGTTAGAGGTGACAATGAAACAGGGCAAGTAAATGTGTAATTACATAGAGTGTGCTAAGTGAAACAAAAAAAAATTTACAGACGCTTGTGAAAGCCTCATTTACATTCATAAAATGTCATTTCAAGAAAATCCAACATTTGAAAATGATAAACCTAAAAAATACAATGTGACTATTTATAAAATAGCCTTCTCATATAGAGATAATACCTGATAAATTTAATTGCCAAACTTACGGGAAGACAATTGTTTTGTGACTAAGCACACCCAGCCCCACATCTCCTCAACTTCAAAGTGCGTAAGTTTTCGGTAGAAAGTCTATGGCACGAGGAAGCTTTCCCAGTTAGTGCTAAGAGCTTTATAAGGTAGGATTTTGTCCACCGATAGATCGATAACTTGCTGATAAGTAAAATTAAGGATCTGTATTTTCAAAAACCTTTTACCAGACATATTTTGGAGGAATTACCTTTCTCATTGTTTACCTCAATCCTTAGTTAACTGAAAAGAATAGGAAAAAAATTGATCCTCACTTTCTTTCAGGTTTTGATTAAAGCTGTCAAAAGAGATTCACTCAGAAAACTCTTGTTACTAATCACACATTGTTTCATTTTTTAAAAATCCTGATCTGACAGGGTCTTCATACTAACGTTTATCTATTATGTTAAAAATAACAATTTTTATTACATTAAGATATCCATCTTTTGAAAAATAGATATAAAATTTTTTAGTTCACCACTTTTCTGAAAAAGAAAGTGAAGATAAATACATCTAATGTAGCAAAGCAGATCATATAAATAAGAGCAAAATAAGTAAATAGAATGGCTATAGGGTAATAGAAAAATTTAAATCAAATGTCATCAGTGAAGCTCGTGATCTCTGCTCCGAAAAGCATCAAAATGAGCAGCACACTGCTTGGTGATCTGCACAGACAAGGGGTGAAATGACTGACTTTGGAGACCCAGCTAAGGGAGCATTCAAAAATAAGAAAAGTATGTTTAAAGAAGAAATGTTACAATGAGCTGTAAGGCCCCTTAAAATCTAGTTAATTGCTTGTTCTCCAAGACCATAGTATATTTTAAGTCACTACCCTTACAAGATTAGACATTTCTGGACCTCTTATTGGGTAGACAAAAGAAAAGTTGGAAATGTGTAGCTTTCTGCATCTGAAGGGCCTGTGATGGAACAGAAAACATAATGGACATAGTCAAGACCCCTGGACGTGGAACCTTTTTCTCAGGCCAATATTTGAATTACTCCCACTTGTACTGATTCCAAGTGTTAAATTACTCAAAAGGGAAATTTAGGACTCCTGTAAAGCAAGCATATAAGCCATATGAATACATATATATGGAAGTATTTCATATTTAAAATAAAACATACACTCAGGAATACTATGAAAACATAATATGGGAATAATATTGCTCATATATTAGCGCTCAGTATTGTTTTTCTAATGAATTATACACTGTTGTTGAGGGGGATATAATCTTTTTAGTGACGTAAACTGAATCTAATGACTTATTAGGATTATGTGGTTTACTCAGTCCTTTCCTTTCAACTATCCCATTCCTATCTTCACCTTTGTACACAGGCATCTTAAAGGCAACTTAAAATAAATATATCCAAACCAAAACTTATGCCCTCATCCCTGTGGTGGATTGAAACATTTTTCTCAATTCTTAACCTTGAAGCACCCAATGAGGAAGGCGTTATCACTCAAATTTTACAAAAAAGGAATATGAGGTTAAAAGAAGCAACATGTACCATGTCATATAACAATAATAGCTCAAGATCAAGATTTGATCCGATGTCTAAAGAGCGTTAATACCTGTGTTTTCCATCTGAGAAGATATGTTAAGAATGATATGCTTGGAAAAGACTTTCAGTCTTAGTTCTATTAAAATGTAGATTATATATATTTGTTGCTATGCATATGTAAATTATTACTTAATTTTCCTCAGAATAACTGTAAAATATGCCTTTCATTTTGTATACTTTCTCCTGGCCCCTTTGAAATAGAATTATTAAAAATTGATTGTATTTTTCCCAAAGGTAAGAGTAAGTAGAAAACCTCAAGTATTTCAATCAAAAATTTCAAAACAAATCAAAAGATACATGAGAGATTAATTACATACATTAATGCATATTTCATAATATTGAAGGAACAAAATAAAGATGAAAAATAGTTAGCCCACATTCACACCATGCTAACATAATACTTTTTAAAGCTTGTGTTTTCTTTCAGTTTTTGTCCATAGGCGTAAATTCCTATCATTATTATAGCACAGATCTAATTCTATATTTGACTTTTTCACTCCACATTATGTCATATTGTGTGAATACTGCCTCTAAATATTGACTTCCAATATAAAGTATATAGAAAGTCAGTAGAGGTGCTGAGAGGCAAGCAATAATTCTGCTTAATTGATGATGATCAACAATCGATTGATTATCAACAAAGAATTGAATTAATTTTGAAAATGTAATGCAAAAATTGTGAACTAATGTATTTTCAAAAGTGTCTATATGGTATTGCAAACACCTGCCTTTCTTCTCTCATCTCCACCAATACTCAGCCTGTTTTGTGTCCAGAAGGCCTTGATCTCCTCAGGCCTGGTGGCCCTTGTGACAGGGATTATGATTACTTCGCCATCCCTGGAGAGAGAAGCCTACCGAGGTCTCCACTACTGTGGTGGAGGAGGTGTCAGCTCTCCCACAAGGTGTACCCTGCTGGCAATAGTCACAGCTCCAGTAAGGAGTTGAACCTCACCAGAGCAGGGTGCACTTGTGACTAAGAAATAGCTGATATGGACTGAATGTTTGCATTTCTCCAAAATTCTTATGTTAACGCCCTTATTCCCAGTGGTATTATATTTAGAGATGTGACCTCTGGGAGGTAAGGTAGGTTAGAATAGGTCATAAGTATGAGGCCCTCATGATGAGATTAATGCCCTTATGAAAAGAGGAAGAGACACAAGCTCGCTCTCTCCTGTGTGAGGACACAGCAAGAAGGCAGCCATCCACAAATCAGAAAGGAAACCGTTACCAGATACTGAAGCTGCTACACCTTTATCTTGGACTTCCCAGCCTCTGGAACTGTAAGAAATAACTATTTGTTATAGAAGCTACCCACCCTATGATATTTTGTTATAGCAGCCCAGACTGACAAAGACACTAGCTAAATGTCATTGACTGATATGAGACACTATGTTGTTTTGTATGCAAAATCTCATTTATTCATTGTATCAGATCTGAGAGGCAGAGAGTTTTCATGTTCTTCCAGAGTTTTTACATCTTTGGCTTAATATCCCTGATTCCTTCAAGTAGTCCTTGTGTCCCAGAGTTTCAAGTTCAATCACAATCCTGGTTATTCTCTAGGCCATGTCTTTATGCTACTGAAATAGTCCTGTCACGTGGATAGTTGTGGATTCTAGGAAAATCTCTGCCTTTTGTGTTTCTATACTAGCACAAAAAGATTATTATTATCAAAGGGTAAAACAATGACACAGGGCGTGGGAAGTGTTATAAAACTTCCAAACAAAGAAAATAAAGGATTTTATGAATCTCAATGTTTAGCTTCTCCACTCACTAGAAACAAAAGTAATTAATATAATAACACATAAACTATATAGAGAAAAACATAGGCTCAAATAACATAATAGCTATATTAAAATTTCTTTGTTTTCTTATATCTAATAAGAGAAAGCACATATCATATCACTTTTCTTAGGCTGTTAGGCAGTTCAGTCCCACTTTTCATGAGTCTGACCTGATTTCAATTTATTTTGCACTTTAATTAATGGAAAAATAAGAAGGGAGGTTAAGAATATGTGTAACAAGGGTGCACAGTGTGTTTAGTATGCGTTATTTGCATTTTTTTGGTAACTAAATGACAATTCTACCATGATATTAGCCCCGATATTTTTCGTTCTGAGGTGGGTAGGAGTTGTTTCTGTCAGCAGAACTCCTGCTAAATGATTCACTGTCATTTCTCCCCAATATAATGTGCTATTAATAATTTTCTTTACTAAAAAGGCACTACTCTGCTATTGAAAATAAGTTTTGTATATTACTTTAAAAATACGATCAAGGTGTAAAGTTTGTTGTAGGCAAAAATATTCTGCTTCAGTTTTTGAACAAATGCATTTGAACAGCTGAATTTGTTTCTTTATATGGTTGAATTATCATTAATAAATAATGTTATTTATTTAATGAAAATAATTCATTAGATTACTAACAAATTAAATTTAAATAATTGCACAAAAGATCACTGCTACTAGCCTATCTTCTTAGCGGATCACGAGGTCAGGAGATCGAGACCATCCTGGCTAACATGGTGAAACCGCATCTCTACTAAAAATACAAAAAATTAGCCAGGCGTGGTGGCAGGCGCCTGTAGTTCCAGCTACTTGGGAGGCTGAGGCAGGAGAATGGCGTGAACCCAGGAGGCGGAGCTTGCAGTGAGCCAAGATTGTGCCACTTCACCCCAGCCTGGGCGACAGAGCGAGACTCCGTCCCCCCCAAAAAAATACACTAGAACAGTCTTCTGAAGTAATTCAAGTATGACTGGTTGAAACTTTAAGGCCTAGAACATATTGATAACTCTTCTACTACCATGTAGTTATGATATTTTTGATTATATTGAAATAAGTCTGCTGAGGTTAAGTTCGGTAATCTGGATTTAAGGAAGGTTTTATATCTAAGCCTGCCAACTGCAAATGGAGAAACTCCAACCTACAGACTGCCTTCGGATATTTTTTTAACTCCTTAGTTTAATCACTTCTTCTGGATAGATGGCATGGTCCCAAGATCCTTCAGATCCATCTACCACCAGTTAGACATGGTCTACTTTGGTTCAGATAATCTTAAGTTTCTTAATTTTCCAGTTGACAGTGTGTATGTGTGTGTATTATATATCACATATATTATAATACATGTAAGATCTGTGGTTTTAAATCATTACTTTTAGCTTTGGAAGACTCCTTGGTGTGCACAGCACTAATATAAAACTCTCCCCTGCAATGTCACCCAGTGGTGCCTAAGTGCTCCATGTGTTCAATCATTGATACGTGCATTCCACAAATACATACTGAGCACTCTGTGCCAAAGGTTCACTATAGCAGGTTCAGTATAGCCAAATAATGAAACAAGCAACAAAGATCCCTACGGTCACAAAGCTTTTATTCTAGTGGGTGATTTCAACCAACACACAAAATGAGTAAATAAATTACATGGTTATTAGATGGTGGTAAGTGCTATAGAGAAACGTGAACAAGAATGCAGTGATCTGGGTATGAGATGACAATCAGAAACACCATCTGAAAAGCTAATATTAGTCTATGGCCAGACCACCCTGAATGTGCCCGATCGTGTCTGAAAGGGCAATATTACAGTCACAAGCTGAACAAGGGGAAGCTTTCCTGGTGGAATTTAACATATGCTTATGAGAAACCCAAATTTTTCAATACTCCTCCATAGTCATGCTATAAATTTTTTTCCTGGCCGTCTGCCAGAAAATATCTGGCAGAGATATAGATAGATTGGCCACTCTTCTCCCCACTACCCTTAAGTGAACTGCTGTTCAGCTCCATGGCATTTATGACAGATTTTTTTCCCCTGGTTTTGGTCCAGTTTCTTGGCAAGCTGAATTTAATCTGACTTAGTCCTTACGTTCCCATTGCCAAGGTACACACAACATGTTTGGGCATATGGTCTTGTTTTTATGATCTTTTAACCTTTATTTATTATAAATACACCATGGTGTAATGGATCATTTGGGGGAATTGAACACTTGGAATGACAGCAGGTCCGGTTGAGGCCATCTGGAGATGTTAGAAGGGAGAAGTTTGCTTCCTTGTGAACTAAACTTTTAAAGGGAGTTAAATAAAATTAACTGGAAAACTTGTGATAAACTCATTTAAGAACAGGATATGGTGGCATGTAACATAGATGAGTGGGTTGAAGGATGGATAAGAATGTGATAAAACAAGGATACATCTCTATTCTGGAAACTAATATTCTAGAATAAGCCATCAGTTTCCTACCACTGATCTCTCTGATTTTAGAAAGAAGATATTCTAATGTGTGCAAAAATGTTGTCATTTTCTTTTCATTTTAGACGTGGACATAGTGTTCTCACAGCCTACCTATATACATAATTAGAATGAAGGTGATAGAAGGTTGAAAAAAATAAATGTGGAAGAATATTTTTTTCAAGTTATATTGCCAACTAAAGTCCCTTTTAATGTTTACTTTGTGTGTTTTGATGGTGAGCTGTCTCCTAGTTATAATTAGGAGTTTTATTTTTAACACTAAAACACCTTTAACTACAATGTATTTTAGCCTAGGTGACTGATGTACTTTCCCTTCCCTAGTATTTTTTTCACCTTTTAATAATTGCTATGTATATGAAAAGTAAGCAAATTAACAACGGAATGCCTAAAATACACCACCTGAATGCCTAAAATTTTTTTAAAGAATGAAAACACCAAATCCTGGCAAAGATTTTAGATGTTGGAACTCACATTCATTGTTGTGGAGACTATAAAATGGTCTAACCACTTTAGAAAAACTTTGTGCGTTTACTTATAAATGTAAATATAGATATGCACTGTGAACCAGCAATTTCACTCCTAGGTATTTACCCAAGAATTATAAAACATATGTTCACAAAAATATGTGTACGAGAATAACCAAAGAAAGTTTATTCATAATTACCTAAAACTAGGAAGAGTCCTGCTGTCTGTTAAAGGTGAATGGATAAACAAATTGTGATATACACAAAAGAATACTACTAAGCGGTAAGAAGGAACAAACTACTGATCATGTAACAGTATGAGTGATCTCAGAAACACTGTGCTGCATGAAGGAAACCTCAGTTAAAAGAGTACATACAGTGTGATTCTATGTCTATTTAGTTCTTGAACAGAAAAATGTCATGTATGATAAAAAGAAAACAATCAGAATAGTGGCAATCTCTGAGGATTTCGGTAGGGGATGATTGAGAAGATGTGTATGATAATTTTCTGTAGTGGGAACTAAAGTGCTTTGAAAATCCCAGCAGAAATGGATTTTACTAGCATTTTACTTTGAAATATGCAATATTTATTAAGTTAGTTCCTAAAACCAAGCAGAAAGAATTCCATTTTATGAGAGCAAATGGACCCAGGGAGGGGATCATCACACACCAAGGCCTGTGGGGGTGGGGGCCTAGGGGAGGGATAACATTAAGTGAAATACCTAATGTAGGTGACGGGTTGATGGGTGCAGCAAACCACCATGGCACATGTATACCTAGGTAACAAAACTGCATGTTCTACACATGTAACCCAGAACTTAAAGTATAATAATAAAAAAAGGTCCATTTAACTCCCTGTTATACTAGTAATTATTGAACTCTATTGTGTACTGATATAGAGGAAGCCAAGTACTATCCTAAATATTTTGCCTACATTGCTACACTTACCACTCCCAATACCGTGAGGTGAGAATTATTGGCCCTGTTTTGTAGATACAGACACTAATGCTTACAGAGTCTGAACAACTTTCCCTGCCAAGCTTGTGCAGGCTCTGTGGGATGGAACTGCTGTTTAAATTCAGGCTTGCCTAACTCAGAAGTAATAGTTGTTGTGGTATACAAATTCCTCCTTCTATGCTTACATTTTATGTTCCTTTCATTTTAAAATCCTTCCTCTTTCATCTAATTTATAGTGTTTAATTATAACATATATAAAATACCTAAGCATTAGTATTTTCAGAAATAAATGATGGTATAAACGATTAAAAACACAAACATAAGATTCCTAATTTGGTCCCAATCTACCTATACAGTATTTCTCTTCATGATAGATTTCCCAAATTGATTGGAATATTTAAGGTTCTCCAGTGAACTACTATATAAATCAAATTTGAAAATATGGAGTTCAATGTTACTGAGGCTGTCATCTGAGTAGGAAATGCCAAAAGATTACAACCATCTTTTTTGTTCTCCTGCCAAGTAGACTAGGCATCTGCCAAGGAACCTCAGATCTCCAATGAAGCATAGTTGAGTTTGAAAACACAGAGTTAAATACCCACTGTGGCTGGAACCTGATTAGAACGTACCAAAGGGTTATAAGATTTTTTATTCTTCTGCCAAATCAACTTTGCTCCTGCCCAGGAAATTGAAATATAAAGCAGATGACATTGACAAGACAAATGCCATTAATAGAAAGAGGTATGTACCATGCATGTACAACACAGATTAAGACAGTAAATGCCCAGCATTGAATGAAACTAGAAAGTTTCGAATTCTTCAAAGTGTCAGATTTGTACATGATAGCTGTGTGAATATCCAGGAATATGAATAGACCTGAGTGATTTGTGGAGGAGCCTGTTGTTGTTCCCACAAAGACTGCTTTCTAAAAACCTGTGGAGTGACCTCACAGCATTAAAAAGGCAGTCTGCAACTAAATGTTATCTATTTAGGATGCCTATTAGAGCCAAGGTATTTTATTCTGTAAATTGGCTGTCTCATTCATAGACAGGTATTTTGAGAGTATTAATGCAGTTGAAATGGTTTTTATGGTTCCTTTCCTTCCCCATCATATATTTATTTTTCTGACTTGGCTCTTATAATTTACATAATAGCAAACATAACTTGTGTAGGAAGACAGAAATTTAATCATGATGAGTCAAACATACCAAAATTTTCTTTTCTTTTTTTTCTATAACTGATCTCATGTTGTTTGGAGCCCCTATTCCTAAAGTTGAAACAATAAAAACAATAAGAAAATTAAACTTGCCAAGTAAAACCCAGTCTTCCTTACTTTCCACAATTTCTGTGTAGATAGATATTCAGTTAGCTCACAGAACTCCCTAGCAGGCATTATCTTCCCAGCCAAGAGGTATCATCTTTCATTATTCCTTTCCAAGATTGTCTGGGACAAGGTGGGAGCTTATATAACCTTGTGTTGAAAAGGGAAGAGGAAGGCTCTGGCCTACGTGCTGTCCTTGGGGTCAAGGGCCTTGTCGCACTTGTCAACATCACTTCTAGTCTTAGTTGCCAAGTGTCAACACCTGGCACAACCCTGAGTGTGTTTTCCTGACTGTCAATGCATAGAGATGGCTGTCTGCCTCACTGACCAGGCAAGCCAGCTCAGGCTCTCCCTTATACCACAGATCCTTTGAGAGCCGGGCGGTGAATCTCTTGTCGTTCCTTTCTTCTGTGCCATCATTAGCCACCTGCCACTTGCCCCTGCCACTTGCCCCCATAGCTCCAGTAAACTTAAGGATTTCCTATAAGCCCTTTCAGACAGGGAAATAGAAAGACACTATACAAGGCCCAATCTAGCTATTTCTCTCCAGCAGTACTATTGCTATTTTCAAGTTACTCAATAATATGAGGAAAAGGCACAAAGGCATCTTACCTGCCTTGACCGCCTATAAATCCCACGTTTTTATAAAGTATTGGTTTCTCATTCAAACTGATGTAAGTGTACTTCATTTACATTTATGTTCCAAAAATTATTAGTAGACTACAAAATTTTTTCAAAATAGAATGACACAGGGAATTCTGGGTGCTTGAGTCTTGATCCAGTTGAGTGTATGCTTGTCCAAACTAGTATTTGGGAAAGTAAGAGCGGGGAATGGTAATTTTGTCCTGGCCTATCCATATGTTTCACTGTACCCTGCATTTACATTGTATTTGATAATTTTGAGACTGATGGAGTGCAAACAATCCAGTTGCTACTATCTCCAGCATATATCTAGAAAAGATTGAATCATGGTCAGATTTAACTTTGCATATGTATGGCTAAGTCAAAAGAGGAGGGCCTCCTTCACACAGGCTTACCATCTATAACTCAGTTCCACTAATGAGGATAGCCAGGACTACCAAGACATTTGCAGATCTGTTGCCTAAGAATGAGGTTAATTTCTCTGCTGTGCATCCTGATTGTCCTGACTTTTTTCTTTTGCCTTTAAATAAACCTTGTTTGATTACCCACATCATAGCTGTGTTTGCACTCACCATCATTTTGAATATATTATTGACATTTGTCCATACAGTGGTGTTCTTGTTTATAAGTAACTGCTCCAAAGAAAAAAACGTTTACCCCACGTGAAGGCTGTTCCTCAGTTGCTTGGTTGATTTAGGGATATGTGTAGTTTGGCCAGATTGGCATGATGATATTTTGTCAATCCAGTAGATGGTCTAAATTCATATGCTATATAATTCATAGCATTTTTAGCAATCTTAGCGCATCCTAAGACATCAATCAAAAGGAATTAACGTGATACCTCCCTTAACTACAGGTTTCTTAAGAATAATTAATCATAATTGGCTTTCTCTCACTCCACAATTATGTATTTTCAATATAGTAAATGCTCATTTAGTATAACATGAATGCTACATTATGCTACATGAACCCACATAAGCATGACCAGATAAATCACATGCTATTTAAAGTATATTAATACACCTGTGAAATATAGTGATATGCTGCCAATCATCATTTGACCTTAGAATAGGGGTTGGGCATGTTTTCAGTGTAGTTGGTCATCAATTAAGAGTTCCCGGGACCTTGTTTAGATCCAGATAAGCCTAAAATTTTTTGAAGAAGTTCTTTAAGTCCAGCTGAAACTGGAGATTGCTATAAGGATTTTAACACATTTTATAGATTTATGAAAGACAACACTAGTCAGTTGAAATGCGGATAATTTTTCTATGATGTTGTAACTGGAAATAATAAAAAGCAAAGGGGAGACATCAGCGACCCCTCTTTTTCTCATACCCCGTAATCAGTGCTAAGTGAATTTTACCAGCATAACCTCTAACATATTCCACATTATGGTGGCTGTTCACCCTCTGCACTATACTCCAAACCCCATGATCTCTCTCCTGAAAAATCACCACCTAACTGGCCTCCCTACTTCCACCATTGCCTCCCTGGTCTAGTCATCTTGAAGCAGCAAAAGTGATTCTTTGAAAATACAAATCTGAGTATAACAGTTCCATGTTTAAAACCCTGCCATAGCTGTACATCACACAAAGTAACAAGCAATTCTTATCATGGCCCAGAGAAAATTCACAATCTACAGTTTCTGGCGCTCTTTCCATCCTTTAGCCCTACCCCTCTCTCCTAAATACTATGGACAGACAGGCCCCCTTGCAGTTCCTTAAATACACTTATCTCAGGGCCCACAAAACTGCTGTTATCTCTGTCTGGAAAGACCTTAATCACTGGTAATTTTGTGGCTTGCTCCCTTATTTTATTTAAATCCGTTTTGAAATTTCACCTCCTCAGATCAGACTTTCCTACTGTGTTATCTTAACTAGCACACTTTCTACTTTCCATTGATTGTAACATGTTTCGTTTTTCTTCCCTTGCACATATCAATGCATGTATTATTTGTCTGTTTACTGGATGCCTTGCCTGATACTACAAATGCTTCATAAAGTCAGTAATTCTTTTTTGTTTCAATAGCATATTGTTAGCCTATAGAACATATGTCCTCGAATACTAAACAATGAGTAAATATATATTGAAATAAATCATTAATTAAAGCATAATAAAATGGACCCTGTGCTCTAAGAAATCTCTCTGGGACCAGTTTCACATGAGACCCCAAAACAAGGATAACTTTAATCCATAAGACCCCTCAGTGCAAGTAGAATTGGATTTTGAGCCATAGTGCCCTGAATTTGGAAAGGTTAGAGCTGCAGAGTCTTTCTCTTTGACACACACCACAGGGCGTTCTGTGGATGATGGTGGTGGAGGGGTGGTGCTGTCATCTAGAAAAAGTAGAGTGTTTTTGTGCTCATGCTTGTGATAAACATTACCAAAATTTTGAAAAGTGGTTTTCTTCAATGACTTAGTATCTTAATCAGGTTTTAGCTCCCAGGTACCTAAGTCTCCTATGTTATGGGTGACCCAAGTCCTTTTTAGACAGCCTATAATATCGGCCTTAACTAGTTTATTGTCCTCATGGTCACAAATGCATCTGTCATGGTTTTTTTTTGTTTTTTTTTTTTTTGTTTTTTTTGAGACGGAATCTCGCTCTTTCGCCCAGGCCGGAGTGCAGTGGCGCTATCTCGGCTCACTGCAAGCTCCGCCACTTGGGTTCATGCCATTCTTCTGCCTCAGCCTCCCAAGTAGCTGGGACTACATGTGGCCACCACCACACCCAGCTAATTTTTTGTATTTTTAGTAGAGACGGGGTTTCACCATGTTAGCCAGGATGGTCTCAATCTCCTGACCTCGTGATCTACCTGCCTCAGCCTCCCAAAGTGCTGGGATTACAGGTGTGAGCCACCGCGCCCGGCCTCTGTCATGTTTTATATAATTCCAATACGGACATTTTTTACACTATATATAATGCCTTAACCACCCCCCCCCAACCAAGTTTTAGTGTGGCTTGTGGGGTTTCTCAAGTTAGAAACAATTTTAAACAAGTACACTTCTAGATCTCTACAAATCATATGTGACCATGTATCAAACTAATCATAAGAGTCACTCTTTATTGAGCATTTACTATGTGATTGACACTCAGCATTTAACCAGGCAGGAGGAAAAGCATAATTTCTGCTTCACAGGTAAGAAAGTTGGCATGGAAAGGCTTATTTATACAGTATGTACAGGATTGCTCAGTCAATCTTATTAGTCCACACTCATATATTTACATACTTTTCAGCAGCATCTTTCATGTATAACCCTCCTCAACATCATCAACAAACACTTTTGAACACCTACGTTGTGCAGTGCAATGACTTCGTTTTTCAAACACTTAACTGGAAGAAGTCTGTCCATTATTCTGTCAACCCTCTTAGAGTATATTTACCTTTAATAACAATTCCAGAATGATTAAGAGTCAATAAATATAATTCTGCTTTTTAATGTATAATAAAACAAAATCACATTTGATGAATGTTCCTAGGAATACGAAAAAGAAAATAGAATTATATTTAGTCAGGCATATTAATAGAATTATTATTAAAGTCAATGGGATTTCTAATTTGGCAGGGTTTGATTCAGGAAATAATTAGGTTCTGTATTTGGAATTAAACTGGGCTTCTATTTTTAAAGATTATCTTACCTTAACAATTGGAAGAATAAAGATCTTTACTTAAATCAGTGAAAAACATGTGTATATAACACCAAGTGTCATGATTGTCAAGTATAGAAAAAGGAAACTAACAATAATTAAGCAACCATTTCATGCTAAGCTCTTAATTTATTTTTCTTTAGTATAATGTTATGCAATTTAATAACCCAGTAAGGTACATTTTAATACTTTTATTGATAGGTGGCAAATAAAGAGCCTAAGGAATTTGATCAGGGATGCTTCGCTGGTCAAGGATGGCAGTGGCGTTTGAACTCACAGATATGCGCTTTTAAATTCTCTCATATTACTAACACCTTGTTGCTTCTTAAACCTTATTTGCCTCTTTTTAAAATTCTCAGACTTCAATATTCCCCTAGTATTCAATATAGCCACCAGCGTATACCTGAGATCCAATAGTTATTAGCAACTGAAATAGCAAAAGGGTGAGTTATTCGCTTAGAGATTTTCTTCATAACTGAAATTAAATAACAATATTATATACTTGAAATTACATAACAATATTATATACTTGAAATTACAGAACTCCTTTGCAAGCTTGAAAACACACACACGCTCCTCCCCACCCCCACCACACACACACTCTAAGGTTTATTTTCGACAAAATAACTAACACAGCATTGATAATGATAACAGAGAGAAGAATAATCCTCTATGGAATATTAAAACTCAGAAATGGCTCTATAGCATATGCAAAATAAGATAATAAAATTTCATCACAGTGAGTTTTGGCTCACTTGTAGAAATCAGATGAGATCATGTGAAAATGGACAAGTGTTATAATAAATTTAAGTTAACACTGCTATTCTTACCTGAGAGTAGAGAACATTTACAAATTAGGTATAGAAAATTAGGTTATTTCACTTCCGCTCCTGCCCCCACCTCTCATCTGTTATTTATATCTATATGTGTCCAATATTAAGACTCTACTAGTGTCTCCTTTGAAACACTTTCAACCTGTAGTCCCAGCTACTCCGGAGGCCGAGGCAGGAGAACTGCATGAACCCTGGAGGCGGAGGTTGCAGTAAGCCGAGGTCGCGCCACTGCACTCCAGCCTGGGCGAGAGAGGGAGACTCTGTCTCAAAAATAATAATAATAATAAAATAAATAAATAAAATAAAATTCATCATAAGAATGAAATTGAATAATAAAATAACCTTCACATCAAATGCTCTACCTTTTCACTAGACAGAGTCTCGCTCTGTCGCCCAGGCTGGAGTGCAGTGGCGCGATCTCGGCTCACTGCAAGCTCCGCCTCCCAGGTTCACGCCATTCTCCTGCCTCAGCCTCCCAAGTAGCTGGGACTACAGGCGCCCGCCACCACGCCCTGCTGATTTTTTTTTTTTTTTTTTTTAGTAGAGATGGGGTTTCACCGTGTTAGCCAGGATGATCTCAATCTCCTGACCTCGTGATCCGCCAGCCTCGGCCTCCCAAAGTGCTGGGATAGCAGCCGGGCGCGGTGGCCGAAACCCTGTCTCTACTACAAAAAATTAGCCAGGCGTGGTGATGTGCACCTGCAGTCCCAGTTACCAGGGAGCCTGAGGCAGGGGAATCTCTTGAACCTGGGAGGCGGAGGTTGCAGCCAGCCAAGATCGCGCCACTGCACTCCAGCCTGGCGACAGAGCAAGACTCCATCTCAAAAACAAAATAAAAATAAAAATAAATTGTCATTCTTAATTTACTATGAGTTTCAGGCCAACATTAACATGAGACACCAATAAACTTAAAGGACACTGAAAATCAGAAGGCAAATATTATTTCAAAATTAAATTTAAAAAATTCAGGTGACAGGACATACATTTATTTTTACCAAGTGCTAGATTATATATGGCTACATAGAACTTCAGACATTCAGTTTACTAATATTACCTGTCAACATTGATTATTTGTGTTATTAGAAAATTAGATTACACCTAGGAAACTCAAACCCCTCAGAATTATGTATGCAATGATTGAAAATATTTCTTCCACTTTATAGGAAAAAAAAGTAAAGCAAAATTAAACAAAAACAAATTGGTCTGTTTATTCATTTAAAAAGTAGAAATAAGTTCTAAGTGGAAAATTTTGTTTTATATTTCAGTGTTACATTTCTTGTTGAACATTTTCATTTTATTTGTAGTTTCATCACACAATTCTTCAATTACCCCTAAAATGCAGTTGTAAAGTGAAAAGTTATATTGTATTCTCTACATTTAAAACTTTTCAAAATGTCAAAATTTAGATTTTAGAGCCAATTCAATTGCAGTCATTTTCATTGAAATAAACAAATATTGATTACACAATATTTCCCATTCATAAACTTTTTAAAACTGTAAACGGCAGTACAACCAACTCTATATGTCCTTATAACCTTCTATGGTGGAATGGGTGAAAAAAGCATAAGCTTCCCTCAAACCCTTTTTCTAAAGGCACTACTCCCATTCATGAGGGCAGAGTCCTCATGACCGAATCACCTCTCAGAGACCCCACCTCCTAATACTATCACCTGAGGGTTAGGTTTCAATATATTAATTTTAGGGGGACACAAACATTCAGACCATAGAATTCCATCCTTGGCTCTACAAAATGTATGTTCTTCTTGTATGCAAAATATGTTTATTCCACCCTGTTAGCTCCCGAAGTCTTACCTTGTTCCTTATTTATATATGTAAATTACCTTATTATATATGAAAAAATATATTATATATGAATAAATATATTTATTTATATAAATATATTTATTCCACCCTGTTAGCTCCACAAGTCTACAGTCCAAATTCTCATCTGAATATCAGCTAAATCAGATATGCATGAGTCTCAAGATATGATTTATTTTGAGGCAAATTGCCTTACAGCTGTGAGCCTCTGAAATCGAGCAAGTTACGTGCTTCTGAAATGCAGTAGTACGACAAGCATACAACAGACATTCTATTCCAAAAGGAGGAAATCAGAAGGAAGAAAGGGGTAACTGAAACCAAGTATATATGAAAAAAACTTAAAGGCAGAATGAACAACTTGGATTAAAAATCAAAGTACATGAGGGGATGGATTCCTCATTTGCCCTGATGTGATTATTATGCCTTGTATGCCTGTGTCAAAATATCTCATATACCCCATAAATACATATACCCACTACATACTCATAAAAATTAAAAATTTAAAAAATAGACAATTAAAAAGAAAACCTACAGGGCAAACAACATTAAACCGTAAGACTTGAGAATAATCTTCTTTGGTTCCATGGCCCACCTTCCAGACACAGTGGGGCAAGAGTTGGACCCCTGAAGGTTCCAGCCAGCCTTGCCACTTTGGCTTTGCTGGAGGCAGTTCATGTAGCAGCTCTGACACATTAAAGTCACATGTCTGTAGCGCTCCTGGGCTAAAATTTCATACTGCATATTAGCTTCTCTAATGTTCTGGGGTCTCAGGAGCAGTTCTCCCTCTTGAAGCTCCTTAGGGGATTGCTCTAGTGGGTCTGTCTGTAGCAGCCCCCAAACCTGTGGGAGTTCTCTGTTCGGCTCCATGGCTCTCCAGTGAGTCCTTTGAAATATAGGTGGAGGCAGCCATTTCTTATAATTCATATACTCTCTGCACCAGTGGAGATGGCACCACACATACATTACCAAGGTTTACCTCTGGCAGCCCTGGTGAGGTAGACACTGGCCTGGAGTGCACCTTGGCCCAATGGAGTCATACTTGAGTTTTGCCTTTCGTCATAGTTTTGTTCCCCAGGCCTTGGCATTCTGGTCCTGGGAAGGGAGTGGCAGCTCCGATGCTCTCCAAAATGCTATTGTGGTCCCTCTTCTATTGTCCTGATTAGTAGCATCAGGCTTCCACACAAGCATACTAATCTTTTTATCAAAAGGTTGCTTGGCCACACCCTTGGTGTTCTCTCCTGAACATGCTTTTATTCTTCACAATATAGCCAGGTTGAGAATATTTCAGATCTCTAAGTTCTAATTCTTTTTTGATTACAAATTTTATCAATTCATTTCTCTTCTTTCTCATTTTACGATAAGCAGTCAAGAGAAGACATGCCCCATCTTCAACATTTTGCTTAGATTTTTTTTGGCCAAATATCCTAATTTATCACTCAAGAATTTCTGCTTTCCATAAAGCAGTAGGATACAAACACAATTCCACCAAGTTCTTTGCCACTTCATAAAAAGGATCACCTTTCCTCCAGTTTCCAATAATATGTTCCTTATTTTTATCTGAGACCTCATCAAAATGGCCTTTACCATCCATATTTCTATCAACGTCCTATTCACGACCTCTTAGAAAAGCTTTAAGAAGACTGAGGTTTTCTCTATAGCTCTTCTTTTCTTCTGTACCCTCACCAGAAGCACCTTTAATGCTCCATTCACTTTAAAATTCGTCCAGCCTCTATCCAATACCCAGTTTAACACATTTTGTTATAGCAACCAAAATGGACTAAGATGCCCCTTAAAGAGCTTTTGTGTCCATTAGACAAGAGTTAGACACCTAACATAGTATCTGGGACTAATATTGTATTTAATAAATAATTGAACCTGTGATTTGATCATATCAGGGATTTGCAAATCTCATTTTGTATGTGTGTGGTAAAATATATTTAACATAAAATGTATCATTTTAGCCATTTTAATTATGCAATTGAGTTGCATTAGTTTGCTCATAATGTTGTGTATCTATCTCCACATCTTTTCAGACTTTTTCATCATTCCAAACAGAAACCGTGTCCATTAAACAATGACTTCCCAATTTCTTTTTCCCCCAACATTTTGTACCCTCTATTTTACTTTTTGTCTCTGAATTTACCTTCTAGGTTCCTCATATAAGTGGAATCATACACACACTAGCTTTTCTTTTGTGACTGCTTATTTCACTTAGTGTAATGTCTTTAAAGATCATCCGTGTCATGGCATGCATCAGAATTCTATTCCTATTAAAGGCTGAATAATATTCCATTGTATGTATATACCACATTTTGTTTTTTCATTCATCCAATGAAGGACATTTGTCTTGTATCAACCTTTTTGCCTATTATGAATAACACTGCTGTGTCCATCGTCATACAAGCATCTGTTTGTGCTTCTGCTTTTAATGAATTGCTGGATAATATGATTATTTTATAGTTAATTTTGGGGGGAACTTCCAAACTGTTTCCCATAGTGGCTGTGCCTCTGTAACATTTTGTATTCCCACTATCAACTCACAAGTGTTCTAATTTCTATTCCTAATAACACATGTTATATTCTATTTTATTTTATATTATTTTTTAATAATAGCCAAGCTTATGGGTATAAAGTGGGATCTCACTGTGGTTTTGATTTGCTGTCCCTTAGTGACTAAAGATGCTGAGCAGCTTTTCATATGCTGCTGATTATTTACATATACTCTCTGAAGAAATGTCTGTTCAAGTCCTTTGCCCATTCTTTAATTGGGTTGTTTATTTTGTTATTGTTGAGTTATAGGTTCTTTATATATTCTAGATAAAAATTCCTTATGAGATACATAATTGACAAATATTTTCTCCAATTCTCTGGGTTGTTTTTCACTTTCTTAATGGTATCCTTTGATGCACAGAAGTTTTTAATTTTGATAAAAAACAATTTATCTATTTTTTTTAGTTGTCTATGCTTTGGGTATCATATCTGAAAAATAATTGACAAACCCAAGGTTATGAAGATAGCTTTATATGTTTTCTTCTAAGAGTTTTATAGTTTTAGCTTTTTTTTTCTTAAGCATCCTTTTGGTGAAAAAATGTTTTAGCTCTTATGCTTAGGTATTTAATACATTTTTAGTTAATTTTTGCATACGATATAAAGTACAGGTCCAACTTCATTATCTTCGATGTGGATATTCAATTTTTTTCAAAACCATTTATTGAAAAGACTGTCCTTTCTCTGAATGGTCTTGGCTAACTTATCAGAAACAAATTGTGCATATGTGTAAAGTTTATTTCTATGCTGTCTATTGTATATTCTATTCTGTAGGTCTGTACTTAGGACAGTGCCACACTGTTTTTATTACTGTAGCCGTGCACTGTTTTAAAACCAGAAAGCATGAGTCTTCCAACTTTATTTTTCTTTTTCAAGATTGTTTTGGCTATTCAAAGCCGCTTGAGATTCCATGTGAATTTTTTGATGTATTTTCCAGTTTGTGGGAAAAAAAAATCCGTAGGATTTTGATAAGGATTGTACTCAATCTATAGATTGCTGTGAAAAGCATTATCTTCTTAACAATATTTTCTTCCAATCCATGAACACAGATGTCTTCCATTTACTTATGTCACCTTTAATTTCTTTTAGCAATATTTTATAATTTTAGAAAATAAGGCTTTCATCTCCTTGGTGAAACTATCCCTACGTATTTTATTCTTTTTGATTGACTAGCTCTTTTACAAGTCTTTTACTGCTTAAGTAATTTCTCAAAAGTTTGTTAAATAAAATGTAGAATCTGACATAAATTTCTAAGTTGACAGAATATACTATTAATCAACTTTTACTAGGTTATGCTGCAAGATAAGAAACTAAATGTTACAATACCAAGTTTATTTGATACTCACATTTACATCAGATGTGTGTTGCTGCAGGAGTGCTGGGGTCTGTGAGATTTTCAAGCTGTTCCCTATTTCTTCTTTCTCTAGCAGTCATGATGAAGGACAAAACTGTTGGGAACATGATGTTCTCTACTATCAGAGGACAGCACCAAGAAGGCAAACAGAAACAAGCACAATTTTTCTAATCCTTTTCCTAGGGATTAGCCTACTAATTGTACCAAAGTTGTCCATATTTCACGGGTCAAACAAAATAAATCCCATGGCCATGCTAAAGATCAGTAGGGTAGGAAAACAGGACAGTGAGAAAAAAGCAAACCAATAATTGTGAACAAATAATAAGTTTCATTGCAGTTATAAGTAAGCAATAATCTTTCATAGTTATGAAAATTCGTTTTTCCAAGATTTATCACTTGCTGTGTTATCTTGACGCTATCACTAGTCCTGTTTTCTTTCCTTGAGAAACAGAGAACAAAAATTCTCTTTCCCTCACATGTTCAAATAATTAGAGTGTAATTATAAAATAATTGGAGCAAAGGTGAATAAAAGTCTATCAATTTTCAGCTCATTTTACTCACTGAAAAGAATCAAGATTTTTTGTGTTTTAAAATAACAAATATCCATCTAAAAATGCCACAGAAATTAGACAGAAAGGAAACAAAATAAGCTTTGATAAAATTTATGACTGATACAATAAAGAGAAAAAGGTTTTTTATAAATTAAGATTTTAATTCATGTGATAATTGTGTTTATTTTTTAATTAGATGGTGTTAGCTAAATTAAATCACTCATTTGAACAGCTCAGAAATATCAATATGCTATATTAACTTCCTTAAGTATCACAGTTCACTGCAATAATACATTCATATTTTCACTCAAATACTCAAGTGGTTGTAGGATTAGCATAATATGCTAATTTTTGTAGCTTATCTAACATATATTTAGCATATTTTGCTCACTGAAGTACACACAGTGTTGTTTAAATGTTTTCATTTAAGCTTACCTCCTTGCTAAAGGTAACTCCAGGCTCTTATCTAAAATTTGGTCAGGGGAAATGGATTAGATAATTGAGTAAAGAGATATGAGCAAGACCTTGCCTTTCTCTATCATCCATTTAGTTCACAGAACAAGCAAAGATTCAAAACTATGTTACATTTTAACCATTAATACTGTTCATAATATCAAAGTATAAAGGTTCGTGAAAAAATTGATTGAAAATTTTAAAAAACTCTCCATTTATTTCATAAGAATAAGATACTTTCATTTGTCGGTACGATTAAATCATTGATTATGGTAGTGAAGTTGCTGGAGGAGAAATGGAGAAGGAAGATTGGTTGAGCTTCATGACCTTGGCAGGAGTTAAGTGAGCCATGTAGAAGGTGAGTATTTATACTTTGAGGAATTTCTCCTCCTAAAAGATCCACAGGTGCTGTTGAGGGGTTTGGGGCAGCAGTGGAATGTGGTCAGATTCACGTCTTAAATAGATCACTCTGGTACCTGAATAAGGATGGCTTTGAAGGGAAAAGATTGGAGATACAGAGACAGTACTATAGAGGCTGTTGCATCTGCTTAGGTGCAATGGAATAAAAAACCTAATTAAGGATCTAAATTAGACCAACAGGAAAAGGCCAAGTGACATGAAAGTTAAGAGCATGCCTGAGTTTGGCTGTCAAATTGATCTGGCTTCACTTTGCTCCCTAGCTCTGCTACTTAGTGCTTTGATACTGTACAATATTCTTAATCACTCTAAATCTCAATTCCTTTTCCCATCTTTAAAATGAGTATGATAACAATACATTTCTCATAGAGTGGCTATATGGATTTGTTGAAAAAGACATACGCATTTAGCATCATGCATAGCATATAATAAATATGCCACAAATGAGTTAACATTGTTCAAACAGACAAAATAGAGTCTTTCCAACTTCATACTTTTAGAAAGTGGTATAGCACAAGCCTACATCTAGGCCTCCTTATTCAAATTTTGTGGACTTTTTACTCTACCATGCTGTTTCATAGAACATGTGGAGAGAAGAGAAAACAATTTTAGAGAGGCTTAGAGCCACTCCAGTATTAAAGCTGGGAATATGCTGAATGATCTGGCCAATTCATTTCATTTCATTTCATTTCAAACAGTGTAATAAATGCTCTCTTGGTATAAGAAATTGGTTATTATCTGAACTGTAATTCTGATAGTATGTTTCTATATAAACAAGATATAATATGCAGTAACTTTAACTTCTTAAGAACACAGATTGTTTCTCATTCATTTTGGTATTTCCAATGCCTAGTTTAGGAACTGAAACGTAACAGTCTCTTAGTAAACATTTAGTGAATGGATATATTATGCTATTTTTGAGACACAGCTCATCAAACATAGTATAATTGATTTGAAATAAAAATGGCAGATCAATGAAAATAGCAATGAGATTATGATCAGGGAGTGCAAGCAAGTTTTCTCCTTTACTTTTCTGGTGATGTGTTATGGATGGTTTTCCTTAGAAATTATTTTCTTTCAGGATCAGCCTAAGGGAAAGAGTATTACAGAAAGTTTTAGCAACAGTGTCATGAACTTAAAGTTGTCAGAGGAAAGCCCTGAGGCTCCAGCATCCCATCCATCCTCATCACTAACAGATCTTCCTTGTAAAACCCTTTGGAACCTGGCTTCAATACAAAGTGGAATTACCGAAAGCCTTAATATTGTTGCTGGTTTGCTCACTAATGATTATTTTGTTTCTCTGTTTCATAATGCCTTGCCTGGAAAATCTTTTGCAAGTGAGTGGCCGGAATTATAATTCTTGTAAGGAAGTGATTTCCACATGTGGTTAACGATTTTGCTACTGCTCTTCTCAACCTTCACACCCCTTCATTCCTGCCCAACTCATTTGGTTATGGATATTAATCACAATCACAGAACAGGAAATGCTTTATTTTAATGTTTAATAAGTTTACAACTCTCGAAATTGATTCTTGTAGTATGAATGTTGGTAATCATTACACTTTAATGCCATAGGCATTTCAGAAAAGACTGGGGAAGGAAGGTCTCCACTGATATCAAAGATGAAATAGCAAATATTTTTGCAAAAAGACAAAATGTCCTTTCTTTGACTTTAAAGAAGATTAATAGTTATAATTAAAAATCACCCATCAGTGTGTATCGCCAAAGACCCAGCTGAGTTCAGTGAATACTGCTCACAGGCCAAATTCAACTCTGCATCTTGGTAAATGCTTCTGTGACGTCGCCACAGGGAGTTGGCATCTCTCTACATTGACAGAAATGAGGCGGTAATTAGAAGTGAGTGACAAGGTGCTTTTCATCTTTGATAAGGAAAGATTTTTTGTGTCAAAATATCTCGCCAGAGGAGTAATTTTCTCTGTGTGCATTTTTTGTCCTGAACGCATTTTGCATGATAATAGAAAAGGGGAAATTGTTTCTGAATGTTGCTTAGTGACAAATAGCAGATTCGGTGCCTTTGCAGTTAACAAGTGTCTGAATGCTGTCATATTGTGATATCGACAGATAGGGCTCATCGTAAGCTGGGGATATTTATATTGGAAAAATAATTTGTTTTTGATAGAATAGAATCAAAGATATTAAAATGTTTTTATGGTATTATGCCTCTAAAGGTTTAAAATGATCTGACAAGATTTAATCACCCAATTCTAAAATACATTTTAAGGATTTAATCACCTGAAATTTTTAGCACAGTGAGGAGACAAATAACCAATATAATGTAGTTGCTGTTTTACAGAACCTGCCTTGTCACTCAACATAGGGGCTGCTGTCAGTTCAGAACACTTTCAAACAATTCATAATTATGCTGGAAAGTGAAATCCATTGACTGTACTAAATTGGAAAATTTAAAAACAACTATTCATGAAATTTAAATGGTTTGAAACAGTTTTTTTTTTAAAGAAACATTAAAAGAAACCTCTGTAATTATAGCTTTGCCTGGCATTAGATTCTATGAATGTGAAAGGAAAATTCTGCCTTGAAGTTGGAATTGATAATGTTAAGAGAACACAGTGCTTTCTTTCATTATTTATTTTTGTGTGTAGGGAGAGCATTTTATGGGATGCAATTTAGCATACAGGTCAGATATGATAGCAGGTGGAAAGAATGACAGTGCTTATTTGAAAGAATGAATCTGATACTCATTGTTATCTGAGTAACATTGGCATGGAAAATGTAGTAAGATCAGTAATTTCTAAAGAAGCAATAAGTAACATTATCCAGCTAGCTATAGGAGAAAACTTCAGAGTGTACCTGATCACAAGAGAAAGAGGGAGGTAGGATGGGTGGAGAGAGAGAGAAGATTTAATGAATATTGGAATTAAAAGAAGAAATTGAATGAATTAAGAACACCAGTACCTAGCTATGAATATCATAGGCTGTGACTCATTTGAGGTAATTAGAAGAAATGTGAAGGTTTCAAAGAGTTCATTGCCATAATACTTAGATAACAAATAATGGACTTGGCTTTTTGTTAAGCACTTTATTAAGGCTATCCCAATTCCTGAAATTTAATTTTCTGAATACCTCTGTTAAATTAAAGCTAATGATATTCTCTGATAGCAGCTTGCAATAGACATTTGGACCTTATCTTTCATCTTTCAAGATCCTATTCTCTAAGAGATTTTGATGAGACTACAATCCTTGAAAAAACTGGAATCATAATAATATTGTTGCCCAAATCAGATGGCCACAAAACTAATTAAATTTGTTTTCTTCCCCCCATTTTACTATTACCATATTCCCCTTTATCAATTCATTTAGAATAATTGTAAAAATTTAATTTTTATTAGGTTATTCTAGAGTACCCTTGAGTATGCTACTCAGAACTCTCAGACAGAAGATAAAATAAATCCACATTAGTTTTAGATGTACACAGTTATTTTAACTTTGAGATTATTTGGAGTCCCGGTGTGGTGGTGCTCACCTGTAATACCAGCACTTTGAAAGGCTGAGGCAGGAGGATCACTTGAGCCCGGGAGTTTGAGACCAGCCTGGACAACATAGTGCAACTCTTGTCTTAAATTAAAAAAAAAAAAATTGAAAATATAAGCTTTATCTTCAGTCCTAAACAATCACTCAATAGAAGATCATATACTGACAATTATTTCATAAGCTTTATTAAATAAGTTAATAATCAGTGTTTATAACATATTGAACACTGTGTAGGTTGAGGACTTTACACATATAATTATCGTAAGACTACAGCATACATACTTCCTGTTGTATTAGTCAGAAAATAAGTGCTTAGAAGGAAAACAACTTGTTCTAGTTCCCATGGTTACTAAATTTCTTACATGGGATTTGTGTTGCCAAAGCAAATAGTGCACCAGACATAATTAAACAGGCGACGAAGAATTATTCAAGGCTATTGCAATAGGGGAGAGAGAGTGAACTCACATCGCTGTAACAAAACGTAAGAGTTTCTAAGCAGTAGGGTGAGTTAGTGCAAAAACACTGGAGAATGTCAGGGAAGAGGGTGGGGAAGGGAATGTGTTCAGCATGTTAAATTAATCCACAATTGGCAAAAGTTTTTGTCTAAGATTAGGCCATCTGTATTTTGGCACCCATGGAAGTTAGACCCTTCCCTGCCACAGAGTCTGAGAAAAAGGAATGCTATCCTGCTTGCTGATTATATTTCAAAGACATGATTCCAAGTCCTCCACAAAGACGTTCACTGGGTCATAAAACTGACAAGAGGCTGGGAGAAGAATTATATATATATAATATATATAATATAACATATAATATATATTATATATAATATATATATATGTATTTCAAAGGAGCAGATAAATAAAGTGCAATTGCAAATTTTCTAAAATATATGCTCTAAAGTAGATATACAGTCAAGAAGGAACCTTTGTAACATTTAGTTAAGCTGAAAGTAATGTTAAGGCCATCTTGGTCACAGTCCATGTCTGTCAGACACCTTTGTAGTCACTCTTAACCCTGGCATTACACTGAATCCTAATTATACCAGTTTTCCAACAGTAATTGGGAATATTAATTGCTTGTCCATAGAATGGCAGTTTATTTGCTGATAATATGTTCTTCCAAACTTGATATAATTGTAAGATACTCTCAATGAATATGTATTTGCCTAATATATTATAAATATAAAAATAGATTTAAAAATTTGGATAAATTATCTCAAAATACAGTTGAAACATTTGAAATTTGCTTATTAAAATACACCAAAGTAATGGTAGAAAGGAGGTAAAAATTATCCCAGAATCCCATAGTCCTTATTATTTTTCCATTATCCAAAATAGGTGGAAGTTGATTATTTTATTCAGCAAATATTTATTGAATACTTATATCTGCCAGGCAGTATGCTAGGTGGTAGAAATATATTAGTAAACAAGAGAATCAATATTTCTTTTGGAATTTACAATCTAGAAAGAAGCAGATATTTACTAGCTAATTTAAAAAAAAATTACACCAGTGAGCTATGCAATGAAGAAAAAAGTTAAAACTTCTGTGAGGACAGATAACAGGCCAAAGTTATGTCATTACATAGTGTAGATTTTCCTGAGGATTCATCTGGGACCTAAATCTACCAGGTGGAGAAAAAATCTTGACAAAGCAGTTGAAAAGGTGTTGAAGAGTTTGATTAACCAAACAGAGGAATTTCATATGTGAAACAAGATAAAAACTATATTTTAGATTATTTGGAGGAATCAAAAGATGTAGCAAAATGAAGAAAGCCTGAGAGTCAGGAAAGCTTAGCTCTGTCATAAACTATTTCTGTGGAATTGAGAAGGCTTGGTATCAATTTTCCTGTACACAATAGGTTATCTTTGGATTAATTTTCTGAAATGTCACCATTGCACTAAATGTTTTTGAAAATCATCTTTTGGATTGATGGAGAAACATTCAAGGATCGCAAGTTTTTAGGTCGCAAAGAAAAATTTTGTAGTCACATTTCAATTGACTAAATTGCTGAAATTATTCACATACTGTAATTGCTATGCTTGACTCTTAAGAAGTATTGAACACTTCCCAAATTCCAAAGTATTGAACACGTACCTTCAAAAGATAAAGATTTGCTGCTGTTGAGCAATTCAAGTGTTCGTGCTATATTATAGAAATGTCATAAAAAGTTACAATATCTTTGAAGTTCTTTGTCTTTGTTTAAATGTAATCACATTTACTAATTGTCACATCTAATTATCATTTGGATCAGAGAGTTGGCATAAAATTACAGAAATGGAATAGATACCCTCTAGAGCCAGGCATGAGTGAGGGTGAAGGATATTGTTGCTACTCTCTGTCACAATTTACACATAATAATTGGTGGTTATATTTGGTCAGGTCCAGTTTGTAAAAGACTCTCGTGGTAAAGCTGAAATGAGTTTCTGAACTTTGGAGAAGACTAGAATATTATGAAATTTAGATAATGGCAAAAGATAATAAAAGAGTAGTGCCTGTGGGTCTTTGTTTCCCTACTCATTCTCCTACAGTGTTTGGGAGAAGAAGCCTCCAGGGTATTCGTGGCACTTGATTTCCAGCAGCTGTCAGAGAGGCAGGGCGCTGCTCCAGATCGGGAATAGCTTGCTCTGCTCAGGGTAATTGGCTCTGCAGCCTCTGTTGAAGAGAGGCAGTCTGACTCATCAAGTTTCTATTTTTGCTCATTTGTTTGTTTTTATGAGAAAGGAGATGCATGTTTTTTATACCACATATAGATCCTTACCTAGTGAAGAAATCTTTGTTGAAAGAGGTAAGAAAAGTTAACTAATAAAGATTAAAGATATTTTAAAGTAGGTATCATTCTATATTCAAATTATATCCATTTTTAATGTAAAAATTTTAAAGATTATAGCATAATTATATACACACAACTTAAAAATATATACATATACTATATATATGAAATAATTATACATAAGTCCCTGAAATAATTATACATATGTGTACTTGTGTGTATAAAACATAGCCTATATTGATTCCTAAGATTCACTGCAACAAGTGTACTTTGAGTAATGACTCATAGTAAGTTAGATCTGAGGGTTTATTATATAAATAAAATGTTGTTACTGTTCAGTGATCTTACATGACTTCAGTAATCTGGAGTAAGGACTAGATGGGCTAATTTCTTAGTGGAGAACTAAAATAGAATTAAACGTATTTGATGGAGTTACAGATTAACTTTGATATCCAATATTAAGGAGAAAAAAAAATATTACTCTGCTTACAGAGATCAGTCTGTCAGTGTCAGACTTTTTCCAAATTTTAGTTTCACCTTGAGTAATTTTTATTTTAGATCACAAGCTATTTTTAACTTTCTTTCCAAATGGTTTTAGTTTACATACATTTAATATAAAACACACACCCCATACCAAAAGAAAAATGTATAAGGCATGAAGCATAATTTCTACAACCTTCGATACTGTCATTTTCCCTTTAGACAGCTAAGTTTAAACAGGCTTCTGCCCATTTTCGATGGTGTGTGTTTGTGTCTTTGAGTATACAAATTTATGTACACATGGTTAATTGTGAAGTACAAAATGCTGTAAGTGAGGATGAGACCCTACAGAATTATTGACAATACAAGTGGAGCGAAAGAGAATCCACATAAGGTAGACTAGAGAAAAATACATTTCTATTTATTGTTATGGAAAATGGCTGAAACAAGCACAGCCTTCCATGCTTATGAAAAACTAATCTTACAGCATAGCAGTTCACATCACTGTTTCACAAACTTATGATACATCCTATTGGAGAACATTTAATCAAAAAGCTTATTCAGTTTTGATCTTTATGTATGTGAGTTTCCATTTTACTATATTTTACCCATTTAAAACGGTTCTGTTTTTTCTACTTTGATCACCGTTACATCATTATTACTGTGATCAAAGAGAGCACACGTAAAGAAACAAAAAAAAGTGGTACCATTTAAGCTGTAGTGCAAAGAAAATGAAACTACTGTTTTAGAGTGTAACACACATGTCACTGAATCACAAAGTGTAACTGAAGTGATGCTAAACATCAAGACACAGAGTGTTAAAACAATCTAAAGGAAGGTAGTGAATATGCCATGTACCTGGCACAACGGACAACCTCTTGGAGAGGGGAAAATCTGGGATAATTCCCCATCTGTGTGAAAACTCACCAGTGATGGCCAGCAGGCTTGCCATTTAAGACCATGTTGAAAATGTGAAAAAAAAAAGCTTGGCTGGAAATCAGTGCCTAATGAAGCTATAGAATAGGACGCACTTTTTTTCTTTATTATATATCTTGTGATGTTCTGATTTAAAATGTCTAATTCATATTGTACACACGCTATGCCTAGATTTACCTACAAAATCCTCAATCAAACAGTTTATCTAATGTTATAAAGCAAAAAATTGCTTACGGCATAAAGTTTTTATTTTGTTTTGTTTTGTTACCAATTACTTAAAAGGGAAATCAATGTCCAGTGTTATGGCATCTGAGAGATAAACCAGTTGAAATAAAAATTGACAATGAGGGCTGGGCCCAGTGGCTCACGCCTATAATCCCAGCACTTTGGGAGGCCCAGGTGGGTGGATCACCTGAGGTCAGGAGTTTGAGCCCAGACTGGCCAACTTGGTAAAACCCTGTCTCTACTAAAACTACAAAAATTAGCGGGGCATGGTGGCACATGGCTGTAATCCCAGCTACTCAGGAGGGTGAGGCAGGAGAACTGCTTGAACCCTGGAGGCCGAGGTTGCAGTGAGCCGAGATCGCACCATTGCACTCCAGCCAGGGTGACAAGAACGAAACTCCATCTCATATAGTTCAGGTTATAATTTGAGGTTCTTGTCCTGAAAAGCCTAACAAATAGAGTACAAAACTGGATGGACTATTGAAAGCAGAAGATAAGAGAAGAAAATAATGAAGGGTCAATAGAGAATAAGAGTAGGTGGCCCAAAGGGACATCTTGGAGGCTGATTACCCCATATCCTATGCTCCATCTTTCATGTTTCCCCATTTTTATTCATTTGAAATTAAAAGGCCGGGCGTGGTGGCTCATGCCTGTAATCCCAGCACTTTGGGAGGCCGAGGTGGGTGGATGACCTGAGGTCAGGAGTTAAAGACCAGCTTGACCAATATGGAGAAACCCTGTCTCTACTAAAAATACAAAATTAGCTGGGCGTGGTGATGCATGCCTGTGATCCCAGCTACTTGGGAGGCTGAGGCAGGAGAATCGCTTGAACCTGGGAGGTGGAGGTTGTAGTGAGCTGAGATAGCGCCACTGCATTCCAGCCTGGGAAACGAGGAAAACTCCGTCTCAAAAAAAAAAAAAAAAAAAAAAATTAACTGATATTTTTCATCATTCTTAATTTCAGAAACTAAGCATAAAAACAAAATAATATATACAATTATTTCATTAATATGTCCATATTTTGTTAACATAATAAAATATAAATTTTTACATTATGATTACAGTTTTTAAAATTCACAAATACAGTTTTATCTTTACAAGCCTCAGGAATTTAACCATATGCTTCCTCTGAAACATGCAAAATATTACATATCAAATCAAATAACATTAGTATTACTTTCTAAATTCAATTTTAACTATCAGTCATATAATCCAGAAGCATGAAAAAGTAATATTTGAGGAAGTTATCGAAACATTTCACTGTTTTTCAGAACCCTTTAGAAATCAGATCAGAAGGTCATTTGCAATTCGCTAACTGGTTAATGACACAATTGAATTTAATAGACTCTAATTCTTTTTCTCTAATGACCAATAGTCAGAGGTCCAATTTCAGAGTTGAAAAATGTCTGCTATTTTCAGCACATCTATTTCTAACTTCACATTTGTTTTCTCTGCAAGATAATATTAAATTTAAAAATAAAATAAAGTAAATCATTTTGACTAAATGAACAGCACAAAGCCTTTGGCATCAGATACATCGGAACCTTGGCTCAAACATTTATTTTCCTTGAAGCTATTCACTACTTAATTAACTTCCCTTGGTCTCAGTTTTTCAATGTATATAAAAATGTAAGATTTGGGAGGCCAAGGCCGGCGGATCACGAGGTCAGGAGATCAAGACCATCCTGGCTAACACGGTAAAACCCCGTCTCTACAAAAATACAAAAAAAATTAGCCAGGCATGGTGGCAGGTGCCTGTAGTCCCAGCTACTCCAGAGGCTGAGGCAGGAGAATGGCGTGAACCCAGGAGGCGGAGCTTACAGCGAGTCCAGATCGCGTCACTGCACTCCAGCCTGGGCGACAGAGTGAGACTCAGTCTCAAAAAATAAAAAAAATAAAAAGTAAGATAATATGGAACTTAATGTCTGGTCGGTGAGGTAAAAAGGAAATGAGTGTAAAAGAGATATCATTTGTGACCTCCAGACTTAGATCATCATGTAAATATTGGTGCCACCAAATGCAATAGAAAACTCTGAAAGAATGAAGAAGGCCAAATGAATGTGTTGATACACGGTGAAGGTTTTGATGGGCAAATGGCCATGGAACATCCACGATACTAGCAGGAAAATGGTTCTGGTGCTCAACTTTTGTTTTCAGGCTGGAAAAGTAAAGAAGAGGAATCAAAAGGAAACTAGATCTGAAGAAAATGGAGAGCTAGGCCGGGCGTGATGGTTCACGCCTGTAATCCCAGCCCTTTGGGATGCCAAGGCGGGTGGATCACTTGAGGTCAGGAATTCTAGACCAGCCTGGCCAACATGGTGAAACTCTGTCTCTACTAAAAACACAAAAAGTAGCTGGGTGTGGTAGTACGTGCCTGTGATCCCAGCTACTCGGGAGGCTGAGGCACGAGAATTGCTTGAATCCAGGAGGCAAAGGTTGCAATGAATGTAGATCACGCCACAGCACTCCAGCCTGGGTGACAGAGTGGGAGTCTGTCTCAAAAAAAAAAAAAAAAAAAAAAAAGGAGAAATAAAGTGATGAAAGTATAATAGAAAATGGAAGAATTAACAGTTACAGCAGGAGGAGTGAAATATTTGATGTGAAATTATCAGGGATAGAAGAGTCTAGATAATAACAAGTTAGAGAGTATAGTCAGGAGCTAGTATTGAGGAATGAAGCTTAATGAGATGGAGTTTATTAAAGAACAATAAATCAAAGTTCTTGGATGATATTTTTGTTAATCTATTGTTTTGCAACAAATATCCCTAAATATAGTGACTTAAAAATACAACAGTGATTTACAAAATTACAAATTTACAAAATTACAAAAATATAAGAGTGACTTCCCATGTATCTGGAATTCTGGAATTTGGGGTTGGCTTTTGTCTGAGAAACCCTGTTTTCTCCCTCCAGTAGTCTATACTAGCTTCCTTACACTGCAGTTTTAGGGCAATGTTCCATGTTGGTGAAGTCAGAAGCTGCAAGACTTCTTGAGGTCTCAATCCTAGAAAGCACACATAGTCACTTCCACCATATTCTGTTGGTCACAGTCAAAAGGCCAGTTTAAATTAAAAAGCTGAATTACTTAATAAAAAATATTTTAAAAATTATAACCATATTTAATCTACCACAAATGGAATATCGACTTGGATCATAAAATTACCTGGATTGCAACTGGATTTGAGTTGGAAAAAAATAACAATGACCCATTTACCAAAGATATAATGAATATATCAAAAGCACCAAAAAACTTGCGGATGATGCAAGGAAAAAGAGATAGTTTCAGCGAGGTAGGATGACTCACAAAGGAACAAATATTATTGTACGATTATAAAAGTTATAATTTGGATATTGCATATGAAGAATATTGACCTCATGTTCCAGTCTCAGTGTACCTTTTGTTCCAGGGACCCAATGTATCAATGACCTTCTGCTGACAGAATCAACAATCCCAAAATATAAGGGGCTTAAAACAATAGACATGTATTTCTTGTTTATGTTAACTGAGGACCACAATTCACTGAGGTTCTGCTCCAAAACATGATGAAGGTGAGATCTGTTCCATGCATCTTCTTCTTCTAAGACCAGGTTGAAGGGACACTCCTGTCAGTGACGTGGTATTCTCTTGGTAGTGGGAGGTAAAAGTGTTTAAAACTGAACATTGAAGTTCAGTTTTATAAAATTATACAGGCCAATTATAAAATTGTCCTTGTAGTTTACTTTTGAAAGCAAGTTATCTCAGATGTCTAACAATGACAAAGTCTAGTCAAGGTATCCTTGACCCACTTTATCAGGGATTATCTGCCCATGTTGTGGTCAGAATCCTGTACTTATGCCAAATGGCAGGAAGTGATTTCCAGCACAGTAAATAGACTTTACCCCAGTCGCTTACCCCTAATGTGAGTACAAAGGAGGAAGTAACATAGGTACTGAACTGAGATTGATGCCCTTATTCGATGAATGTTATAAAAATAGCACCTGGAATATGGTAATTAATTCCTACATTTCCAAATCAGAACAGAGGCTTCCAACAGTTAAAAATCCTTTCTATTCTCATGATGCACAATGACAGCTTGTTTTACATGATTTAGCTAGTAGTGAACAGAATTCGATTTATTAACTTTTTGCAGGAAGAGAGACAATACACCATTGTGATCTGTGCGCTGTCTTACTAAGAAAGAGTTGAAATGTACTTAACATGGTGTTTGGGCTTTTGCTGAGTGATATAAGGAAGGGCTTAAGAAAGGTTGGGAGGGTCTGTTTTGGATTAAATTCTGTCAGGAAGCGGGTCAATTATCCTTTTGAATATTTATACTTCTTAATTGGAAACTTTAAAATGTTTTTGGTCTAGGAGGTGTGAGGAATGAAACAGAGCTAGAATTGTCCTTGGTAAAAAAGAAAAAAAAGCAGTAGTCTCTCATATTTTGGGGGAGTGGAGATTTTCTAATAGTATTATAGTATCTTTATATTTTTCTTATATTCGTATATCTTTATAGAGTGGTCTTGTTTTTGCTTAGTGTCATCATGTCACAGAATGTTTTGCCTTATTATTGTTAAAAGTCTATGAAATTGTTTATGTCTGGTAGAGAATGCTGCTGCTGTTTTGTTATTTCTTTTGTATTTATCTTTCTCAAAGGCTTTAGTTTTTTTTAAATATTGTTTGTATTGTCCTATAGTCGTTATTCTTAACAAGTCCTAATTGGCTTTCTTAATTGTAACTTTTTCTATGAATTAGAAGGCCTCACTTTCTATGATAGACTTATTAATTGGTTTCATCATTTAGACTTCCTTTAAAACAATCGCTGATATTGACATATCGTAACTTCATCGCTACTCTCACAACCTCCATTTACAAATATGAGACTACTTGGCAGTAATAACTGTAGTGCTACATATTATTTCCTCTTTAAAAAAGTGTCTGGAGGTACATCTTTGGTTCTTCTGAAAGGCACTGTGAGAGCAGAGATGTACAGATTAGTTCCTCACTTAGTCTTAGAGAAGACCTTGCAATTTTGCCTTTTCTCTGGCTAGCTAATGAAAACTAAGTTCTTCACCCAAGTCCTTTACACCCTTTATGCAGCACAACTTTAACACTTTAATTTTAACAAGTCCCATTTCCTCATTTGGTCTCTTGAAAATATCTATGAGAAAGGAAACCTTGCTTTGTTCACATCACAGTTCATATTGCAAGATAGTGAGTTCCTAGATGGTTTAAAGATAATTTTAGGGTGTATAATCAACCTAATTATATTATCTTTTGGATACAAATCTAAGAACAAACATTACATATAACATGTCTTTGGTTTTGGAAATTACATAATTTTGTTTCTTACTTTACCCTTAAAATTTGTGGGAACACTACTCTTAACAATGCTTTGGACTCGTGGTCTTCTGAAATCTTTTGTCCCACTCTAGGCTCTGTTTCCAGCTGAACTTCCTTGTTAACTCATTTCTATTTTCGTAAAGCTGTTTCATGTTAGCATTTCTTCTTACTTAGACATTCATTTGCTAGTCATCCTACCCACTTTTATTTTTCATCAGCTATATTTCTCTAATAATAAGAAAAAACTAGTAGTCATAACTGTCAAACTCTGCATTAGGCTATTTTCCAGTCAGTATCACTGTATATGTTCAAGTACTGTATTCACATGCACTGTCTTGGCCAATCTCTTATACAGGAAAGGCAAGCATTGAAGATTGGGTTTTACTAGATGACCTTTGAATCTAAGTTCAATGTTGAGACTCTATGATTCAAAACACAGTGATAGAAAAATCATAATTTTGCACAGACTTCATATATATACTTTACCACCCTATCCAAGAGCCCTTTCTTGATTTTCTTATACTAATCAGCACCTCTAGAAAGGATAAGTAAAATTGGTGAATGTACTCTGTAGTATGGATGACTATATGCATATGTAGAAAATCACTAGGCTAGGTTTAAAAAAAAGTGAGAAAGGAAATAATATCTATAGGTTCACTGCAATTAAATCATCCTATTAAAATAGTTTACAAGAACATATACAAACAGTATGATATACACTGAACATATTATAATAGTTGCTTTTAGATAAGAATATGGCAATGGGAGAGTGAATAAATGGAATAAATACATTAATGAAACAAGATAAGAGCAAGACATATCAATGAGATAGTTTGACATGAATTCATAAGTCTTTTTTTAGTCTTCTGCACATGATATTCAATAAAATACATACATAAAATAGCACTCATCTCTATGCCTATTGCCTATTTAATTTTCTAGTCTGTATTTATGGTTTCTAATAAAAAGTTAATTAATTTATTCTTTATTATTTGCCTCTGCTAACCTTTTCTGACCAGCAAGTTACTTTCCTAAGAGGAGATAATTTTGTTTCTTTTTTTTTTTTTACTGTTGTATCACCAGTACCAAAAATAATACCTGACATCTACTAAATATGAAAATATTAATTATATTAATTAATTAATTATACGAATAACTATGATGAAGTTGATTTTTTTTATATTATCTCTAACTTAAAATTTAAAAGTAAGAATCTGTAATGGGCTTAAGTTATTCATGGTAGTGGGAAGATATTTTAATAACGATCAGTGGGTGATTGATTTCTGGTTCAATACCTTTCTCAATTGAAATGACAAATCAAATTAGAGTTTTACCTCAAGTGCCATTTGAAAATGAATAAAATATAATCGATATGACATGAAAGGAGATATTCATTATTGAAAGTTGTATTCTGACCCAGAGAAAACACTAACTGCTATACCCGTATTACTAACTTCCAGCATGAGCTATTTTTAAAGTTTTAATAAACTGAAGAGAATCATCTTGCCTCAAAAACATGTGGAAAGGTAGAAAAAAATATGTGTATTGTTATATATATACACACATGCATATATGTGTATTTATGCATTCTATAATTCAGCTCATGGCCCCTCCAGTGGGGCAGAGATCCTAAAGCTTTGGTGGGTGACAGAATCTCTTGCAAAGCTGCTTAAAAGTGAACATTTTGGCCAGGAACAGTTATTCATGCCTGTAATTCCAGCACTTTGGGAGGCTGAGGCATATGTATGTGTGTGAATACATATGTGCCATATAAAGGTTTAAATACACATATATGTGTATATATGTGTATATACACTTATGTGCCATATATGAGGTTCATATATACACATATAATGTGTATATATGCGTGTGTGTGAATATAGTTATGTGTCCCATAACAATGTTTTGGTCAACAACAAATCCCGTATACAATGGTGGTCTCATAATGGTGTGTCTGTGTGTGTGTGTGTGTGTGTGTGTATGGTGTGTGTGTGTTAAATAAATGCTACTCTTGAAAAACATAATAAAGTCAGTATTCCTGTGGCCAAGTAACCATTTGAAGAAATATTTGTCCTTTGTTTGGTGCAAAGGACCAAATGATGTTTATACTTTTTTTCAGAGAATACTACACACTTTACACATCTCAGCATGAAATTAGTATCACAAAATCTTTCTATTTATTTACAGTTTTATTTAACTGCCTGATTTGTCCAAAATATTCTCAAAGAAGTGAGCAAATAGAAATGATAGTGTTTGTTGTCTATAAAACCTTTTTGTAAATGAGCAATGATCATTACACTGTTTCTACTATTAACTTAAACAAGAACATTTGTCAGATTTGTTCATTCAAATATTGTTTGTAGCTGGGGATGGTGGCTCACGCCTGTAATCCCAGCACTTCGGGAGGCTGAGGTAGGTGGATCATCTGAGGTCAGAAGTTGGAGAGCAGCCTGGCCCACATGGTGAGACCCTGTCTCTATTACAAATAAAAAATTAGCTGGGCGTTGTGGTGTGCTCCTGTAATCCCAGCTACTCATGAGGCAAGGCTGGAGAATCACTTGAACCCGGGAGGTGGAGGTTGCAGTGAGCCAAGATCACACCATTGCACTCCAGCCTGGGCAACAAGACTGAAACTCTATCTCAAAAAAAAAAAAAAAAAAGAAAAGAAAAAAGAAAAGAAAAAGAAACCCACAAATACTGTTTTTGAATACCACCTGAGGAGGACCAGACCCATGTATAGATACTGGGGTTACATCAGTGAGAACCCTGATTATTTTGAGTTTCTTATCTGATGCAGTGGATTTCAAACCTGTTTAAATATTGGAAACGTCCAACGGATTTAAGAAGTACCAAAATCTGAGTCCCATTCCAGGCCAAAAAAATAGAAATATCTGGGGATAGGACTCCAACATTTGAGTAGTTTTAAAGGATCTCCAGATGATATCAGTATGGTGCCCAAGTTTACAACTGCTTGTCCAAAAAGTGACATATACCAGCAAATAAAAAAATTTCTTCAGCTGAGCTAAGCCTAGGGAAAAAAAAAACAAACCAAATTTCTAATCACTGCGGTAAGTGCTACAATATAAAATTCCCTGGAGCCAACAGGGACAAGAGGATCATTAGGTGAGGGAATGGGGGGAAGAGACATAGTTTCAAAAGTCTTCTCACAGGAAATATCAATTAAACTAGGATCTGAAGAATAAAAGAAGTTGGTGAAAGTCAATGGAGATGATTTATTCAGATTTTTTTAAGTATATGTAAAGTCCAGGAGTTAAAAGATAGCATGGCTTATTTTAGGATGTAATAGTATTTTAATGCAATTGGCATTGAACTTGAAAAGGACAAAGAAATGGCTGTATGCAGAAGGCCTTATAAGCCATGTTAAGAAAAATGAACTCCATCTTAAGAGCAATGGAGAAGAAGAACTTCATAATTTTCAAGATTAGTCAGAAGTTGTCTTTTGCCTTTCTCACAGTACTTTTTATATATTTAGAATGGTCTTTTCTACTTAATTTTAATGTATGTGGCATAGTGTCCCTATTATCAGCAGAAATGCACAGTCAAGTTTCTTGAATAAAAACTTTCTAGGACTCCTATTATTAATGAATCTAACAATTTTAATGGTTTTCTTAGAGCTCATATTTTTAGCTTTAGGGCAGTGGTTCTCAAGCTTTTTTCAGGTCCAACATGTTAGAAGTAATGACTAATTATAGCAATTATTTTCAAGAAAAGGGGCAGAAGAAGGGACTAAACAGCTCACCTGGGTAATGGTGGCTGCTGTAGCTTGAAAGTGATCCACCCATCTTCATCTGATGCTCCTCGAGGGCTGAGAGAAAAATCGTAGTCTCCCTTTAAAAACAAACAAACAAACAAATCAACACAAAAAACTGCAAGCTCTTGAAATTAGAATTAGGGGTTTAAAAATTGCCTTCAAAATTTACAAATGCCTCAGGGAAAAATCATATTTACATCCTTGGTATGAGAGTACAATAATCAGCGAAACTTGGTTCAAGTGTCCTATGCTTGACCTAATGACCTTAAAGCCAGGAAAGATAATAGCATCCTTCCAGAACGTGTTGCTAAGGCTGAGAAAGAAGTTGTACCCTAGAGGAAGCATAGATACAAACACTGAGAGGACTGAATGGCACGCAGCACCCCCACATTTTGGCTTCTACAGAAAATAATTATGACCTAGAAGTGAAATCTGCTGGACAGAAATTGGCTAGACCCAAACTCATGGGGAAGCACGGACAGATGCAGACGCAGAGAGAAAAGTGAAAATATCATTAAAGAGGCCTTTGTTGTTAAATAAAGATTAAGAACTGCCACTCTACCGCACAATTTGACAGCCTCCAATTTAAAATGTGATTTACAGTCACAATAGTTCCTATTTTCTTTCTTGCATTTTGTGACCAAAGAAAACAAATACCTGTGTGTGCTTTTACGAGACTTATTTGTTCTTTTTCTCCACATCCACTCGCCCTCTCTTGTATGATATTATGAATAATCCAGTGCCATGACTTGAACTCCTGAGACTTATGACACAATCAGAGACAGGTGATCTGGAAATATCCTATTTGGTTTCTTCACTGTCCTTTAATGTTTTCTTATGGGAGGAGAGGTTCTTCCATTTTTGACAGAACTCAGTAACACGTGTTTCATTCGCACACAAGTCAGAGGAGCCAGGCAAAGCACATCTCACTAGTGTCTCTAAATAACTTTTTTTTTTTTTTTTTTTTTTTTTTTTTTAGACAGAGTCTCGCTCTGTCTCCCAGGCTGGAGTGCAGTAGCCTGATCTCGGCTCACTGCAACCTCCGCCTCCCAGGTTCAAACAATTCTCCTGCCTCAGCCTCCTGAGTAGCTGGGACTACAGCCGTCCACCACGACGGCCAGCTAATTTTTGTATTTTTAGTAGAGACAGGGTTTCACCATATTGGCCAGCCTGGTCTTGAACTCCTGACCTTGTGATCCGCCTGCCTTGGCCTCCCAAAGTGCTGGGATAACAGGCAGGAGCCACCACGCCTGGCCTCTAAATAACTTTTATTTCACTAAATATATTGTTATGAAAATGAAGTGGCTATCATTTTTATCAGTAGTCTCTTTTGTATGTGAATATTTAAAGCTCTCAAAGAAATAGGAAGAAAAGACCAAAAGAAATGATGAGTTACTAGCTTTGTTTCTCTGACAGACTGGTCCCATATGTCTATGGTTATGTGATGAACAGAAGAAAAAGGAAAGAAATACAAAATATTTTAGAAATTGGTTTGCTAATGATAGCATGTACTACACAGAAAATATTGAGACATAGACTGTCCCTAATCTCTAGTTAAGTTGTTGGTTGTTTTCAGATTCTGAGTGATCCTCTATATGAACAGTGATGCCATAGTGGCAAGCAAGTTATTAAAGGGACTCGATACCTGCTCGTGGTTGATACTCATTTAGTTTTCATATATTTAGGTTGAGAAGCTGCTTTTTTTTTTTTCTTTTGGCATTAAACTCACATAACTATAGAAATTATGTTTGTATTCTGAGGAGTACCTATAATTTATTTAAAATATTTTTGTAATTTCCCATGGCTATTATAATTTTTAAAGTATGCTATTAAGAAATGCTTGTCTTAACAGGGCAGAAGCTGCTTTACCCTGGGTTTTTCCACATGGAGGATTATCTGATGATAATGACACATTTCCCACAGTGGCAGGGAAGCTACTAGAGACACAGAAGGCCTGCACAGATGTCAGGACTGCTGGGTACAGCACTGCCATGGTTGATGCACTCAGAGTTTAAAGTCTCTTTAAATTTCTTTCACATAAAAGAAGAAATTTGAAGTTCAGCCTCCAAGAAAGAGTATTAAAAAGACCAGGAGGGTTTTATCCAAGTTCCACGGGTGATAAAACACATCAGTCTGAAACATTACTAGTGCGTTGCTGATTCCCTAGTCATTCTTCCATTTGCTGTAGCTGAACAATGATAGCACTGTTCCATCAAGGGAAAATGATCCCTCCTCCTTTCAAAAAGCTTTTTACAAGGCAAAGCTATAAAGTGCTAGATTTATTAACAATTTCCATTTCAAGAGAGACACTGTTTGTACGGCCGTAAAGCTGTGCTTTAATGCAAGCCTGTTTTCCTAATGCCTTCACAACTCCTGTAAATAATGCATCCCTTGGTGGCATCCTTCACTTTTAAACAATTTGGGCAAACTGGTTCAAGTTGTAAAAATACAAATATACTTTCTGTAATATAATAATAGTTTTGCAAACACTCTGGAATTTGCCAATTTACTTTTCTAGATCTGATTGATATTTGATTGCCAAAATGGGAAAAAAATGTACTTAGGTGAATTTCACCCCCAACCGAGGGACTCAGGACACCAGAAAAGTGAAGACATATTCCAGGAAATTTTGAGCAATGATAAAACTGGTCCGTGGTGTTTGTTGACAAGAGAAAAAGTGCATCCAAGTTCTATAAACTGAAAGTGTCACGAGAAACTTCTTTATCTCAGTTCCCTATGTTGGATCTGTCAATTCAACCAGGTTTTATTGAACTATTCTAATTATCTTAAAGAAACCTGATTAAACTTTATTCTATTCTTGAATAGTCCTTCCCCTTTACTATATGTTTGCTTTTAAAAAAATTAATTGACAAATAATAATTGTATATATGGAATACAATGTGATGTTTTGATATGTCTACTCTGTGGAATGATTAAATCAAGCTAATTACCATATCTATCACCTCCCATACTTAATTTTTGTGGTGAGAAAATTCAAAGTCTACCCCCCTAACACTTTTATATAAATTATTATTAATATGTTTGCCTTTTAAAAAATACTATTAAATGGCAATGTATTGATTAAAAAATAAAAATCATTCAATTCTCAAAGTGTTTACTATTGGGCAGATAATAAATGTTTGTTTGTTTGTTTTTGTAAAGCACCAGAAAATTATTTTATGGTAAGCTATGTAAAAGGAAAGTAAGAGTCTTGAAAAATGTCTTTCCTCTAGTAGTTATCATTTTGTAGTGAAAACCTTTTGCATTCACTCTCTTAGCATTTTTTCAAGAATACAAATATTGTTAACTTTAGTCACTGTGTTGTGCAAGAGATCTCCCAAACTTATTTCTCTATCTAACTGAAACCTTGCATCTTTTGATCAACATCAACGTCTTCTCAACCCCTGAAACACCCCCGCCCCACCCCTCACTGCCAGTCTCAAAAGTAATGTAATCCAGCTTGGATTTGGTGATTTGGACTTGAACTGGATTGAAATCACCAATCCAGCTTGGATTAGTGATTTGGACTTGAACTGAGGGGAAATTATAGGTGTTATATTTTATTCATAAACCAGTAATTTTATAGTAATGTGTTAACAAAGGAGAAAAATAAATGGTCCAGTGAAAAATTGAGTTATGGTTAGATTGCATAGGAATGTAATCAATAAAGTATGACATAGTAGAGAGAGAAAATTTGTAAGAAAAAGGTCATAATGCAGAACTCTTGTATTTAGTTAAGTATCATTTGAGGCTCTTTTTGTTGAAAATGGCAGACAAACCAGTATACAATAGCTTAGGCAATAAAGATGACTTATTGGCTCATATAACTGGAAGATCCAGAATAAGAAGGAGTTTTAGCTCAAGGATGTCGTCAGAGATCCCATTTTCCCATCTTTCCACAGTGCATCCTGTATATATGGAATTCCATATATGGATTGTATATATGGAATTGTACATCCTACAAGATCTTTAGACAGTCTTCCTCATGTTGTCAAAATGACTACATAAATTTGAAACCCCATTCATAGCTATGCATTTCCTGTATAACTATTTGGAAAGACTTAGAGAAATTTATGACCTGGAGTCCTCAGTATATTTCCCTTGGGTGAAAGTTACGTGGCTGTCCCTAAAGAAATCTCTGAAGACAAAGATCAACGGCATATACTGATCTACTCAAGCCCGTTTTTCTGAACCAAATTCCAAATTCCATGGAGAAGGAGTTAGGATTGCTCTTATTGGACTTCACTAGAGCAGGGCCCACCTCCAACCTGGGTAATGTCAGGTTCCCCTGAAGCACATCTGTTACAGGAAAGGGGTCCTGATCCAGACCCAAGAGAGGGTTCTTGGATCTCACACAAGAAAGAATTCAGGATGAGTCCACAGTGCAAAGCAAAAACAAATTTATTAAGAAAGTAAAGGAATAAAGAATGGCTACTCCATGGACAGAGCAGCCCGAGGGCTGCGGGTTGCCCATTTTTATAGTTATTTCTTGAACATATGCTAAACAAGGAGTGGATTATTCATGGCTCCTCTTTTTAGACCATCTAGAGTAACTTCCTGACATTGCCATGGCATTTGTAAACTGTCGTGACACCGGTGGGAGTGTAGCAGTGAGGATGGCCAGAAGTCACTCTCATGGCCATCTTGGTTTCGGTGGGTTTTAGCCGGCTTCTTTAATGCAACCTGTTTTATCAACAAGGTCTTTATGACCTGTATCTTGTGCTGACCTCCTATCTCATCCTGTGACTTAGAATGCCTTAACCATCTGGGAATGCAGCCCAGTGGGTCTCAACCTCATTTTACCCAGCTCCTATTCAAGATGGAGTTGCTCTGGTTCACACACCTCTGACACTTCAGTAGTGTGGAAAAAGGAAAAATAATTGAACAAAAATCTCAGCACTTAGGAGCCAGATATAGGGAAACAGAGGATGACTAAGCAATCAACAAATAACCTCCATTCTAAGGCATTTCTCCTCAAGTTTATATAGTTTTTGCCATTTAAACAAAAAAACTTTTATTTAAAATTTATTGGATTTGATTTGGCCAATTGTTTCTTTGCATTCATGTTTTTCTAGTTTCTGGTGAAAATTTCATTTATTTAATACTTGTTGGTCATTTTATAAAATGTTAATTACTAGTAAAATTTTTCCAATTAGATATATGTTATCTCCCAGTCCATATATTTTCTTTCTAACCGCATATTCTCTCCTCATCTAAGCTCTGAATAGCAGGGAGGTTAATTAATAGAGGTTGATTTTATATACATCTATTTGCCATAGGAAACACCAAACTCATAAGAAATGGTAACAATTAATCAATGCTGTAGTTGTCCCATAAAAATTCTATCCCCCCAAAATTTCATTTTCCCCCAGTTAAGACCAATATGTTGCCACATTATCTGTTTTCAGTACATACGTAGTCACACACCCACAGATATTTCATTTTAGTTTTGCAAAGGGAAATTTTGATACCATACTGAAATGGTAGGAAATTTAGTTCCAAATCACTGGAGTTAAATAGATGATAATTCCACAAATCTCTTTTCATTATTAAACACCATTTCTACTAGCTGTATTTTAACTTTTAAATGATTTCAAACCATTTATTATAAGTAACAATATATAATCGCCTATAGAAAGTTCATACTATCCAGCTAGAACTTGTTCAGCTATCAACCTGACACCTAGTAATCATGAAATGTCCATCCACTCAGTAGAAATACCCTTTCCCTAACCAAAGGAAGTTTCTGTCTCCTCTTTTTTCTGGACTCCTGCTACTCAGTTGCTGAGCTTCCCCTGCCACAAGGACCCTCTGACTCCATCTTCCACCCTTCCTGCTCTCCTCTCTTTGACCTTATGCTGGGATATTTGTAGGTATATAGACATGTCAAGCCCTTTCAATCCTTGGCTTTTACCATGCTGTTGCCACTTTTTAGAGTAGTGAGTTGTTTTTAACCTTGGCTGCACATTGGAATCAGTTACAGAGGATTTTACATCTCAGTGGCCAACCAGCATTCAAGACAAATGAAATGAAAGTATCTGGGGGTGAGGTCCATGTATCAAAATTTTTTTAAGCCTCCAGTTGATTCCAGTGTGCAGCCAGAATTGAGAACCCTCTCTCTATTCTTACAACTCCTGATTCTCCTACATATATTTGTCTAAATATTATAGCACTCTGCAGAGAAACTTTTATTCCCTCTGCAGACTAGGTTTGGTTTTTTGAAAGATGCTTTCATGGCTGGACGCGGGGGCTCAAATCTGTAATCCTAGCACTTTGGGAGGCCGAGGCGGGCAGATCACCTGAGGTCAGGAGTTTGACACCAGCCTGGCCAACATGGTGAAACCCCATCTCTACTAAAAATACAAAATTAGCCGAGCATGGTGGCACACACCTGTAATCCCAGCTACTTGGGAGGCTGAGGCAGGAAAATTGTTTGAACCAAGGAAGCAGAGGTTGTAGTGAGCCGAGATCACACCATTGCACTTCAGCCTGGGTGACAGAGCAAAACCCGGTCTCAAAAAAAAAAAAAAAAACATGTTTTCACAGCTCCTGTATTTCTCTTCATGGCACTTTGTACGCTTGTAAACTACTTGAAAGCAGATATAGTGCCATGCGTATCTTTGGTTTCTAGAATGATATGCAATCAATAAATCAACAAATATGAACTGATTTGTCTTGCTTACCAGGACAAGCCCATTGAAATCAGACTGCTATCTTAATGAAACCAGTGTGGAATCTACTGCCACATTGTAAACATGTACTTAAATTTCTATGTCAGTGAAAGAAAGAACACGAAACTTTTTACACCTGCTACTATACATACAGATTTGTTCATAGTCCTTAGGGCTAAATCTGCAGTTAGAATCATTTATAACCATACAAACTTGCCCAGTTTTCAACCACTTTCTATGATAGGAACAGATTTATCTCCTAATCTGCTTACACACAGACACAGACACACATACACAGTGCATAATACCCATTGAAATGCTCTGGGTACTGTGGAACACAGACCAGATTGCCTAGGACTAAAACAAAGAAGAAATATCTTTAACTCAATTTAAGACACCTAATTCTCCAGTCCTTATTTTATTTTATTTTATTTTATTTTATTTTATTTTATTTTATTTTATTTTATTTTATTTTTTGAGATGGAGTTTTGCTCTTGTTGCCCAGGCTGGAGTGCAATGGCACAATCTTGGCTCACTGCAACCTCTGCCTCCCAGGTTCAAGCAATTCTCCTCCCCCAGCCTCCCAAGTAGCTGGGATTACAGGCATGTGCCACCATGCCTAGCTAATTTTGTATTTTTAGTAGAGACAAGTTTCACCATGTTGACTAGGCTGGTCACAAATTCCTGACCTCAGGTGATCCACCTGTCTCAGCCCTGCAAAGTGCTGGGATTGCAGACGTGAGCCACCGTGCCTGGCCTCCAGTCCTTATTTTCTATCCCAGGTTAAACACCTTTTAAATGGGATATGCAATGGAAATAACTAAATCTTTAAGAAAAATTCTACTTGTACCTGTATTGTGTATAATCAGGTTCACATAATAGCTCAAAAGGAGCCTGTTCTAGATTTTTGAGTCTTATAACTTTAACTTTGCAGATAATGCGTAGTGCTGATTAACATAAATGAATACTTTTTCCCTTTATAGATAAGAATCAGCATAGTGTAGACCTTACTTTCATATAACTCTGTCCTACCCACACAAACATGCACACAGGCACTCCCAAATGTGCAAATAAAACTGTATTTTAAATCAGGTGGAATAACATTTGGTAAAAAAGTAGCAGAATGACTAACAGAATTATAAAATGTCGAAATATAGGCAGATGCAAATAAGAAGCTGGAATTTTCCCCAAGTGGTAGGAATAAAATCTGATTAGAGATTTAAATTAATTTGGAAACTTATGGTGAAGGGTTTCATTTAGTTATTTCTTAATGATTTCTTAATTAATAAAAATCACATTAACCAGAATTGGCCTTTCCTTTAATCGAATGTGAAAGTGTGATTACTTTTGGAATCAAGTTAAAATTTAATATTTAAGCTAGTTTATCATTCTCAACTCTTTGTCCAGTCCTCAATATGAGAATCTAAAGCATGCTTTAAATATCTAATTAGTTCTAATGCATAGCACAATGCCTGACATATAGTAGGTATATGACATTGGTGAATGATTTAATACTTAAACAAAACAAAATTCTTGTTCTCAAATAAAAAATAAAATAAGCCTTTTTTTTTTGTCAGGGTCTCTGTTGCCCAGGTTCGAGAACAGTGGCACAATCATAGCTTACTGTAACCTTGAATTTCTGAGCTCAAGCAATCCTACTGCCTCAAACTACTGAGTAGCCAGGACTATGGGCATGTACCACTAAGCCCAGCTCATCTGTTTTTATTTTTCATAGAGATGGGGGTTGCCATATTGCCCACACTGGTCTTGAACCCATGGCTCAAACTATCCTCCAGTCTCAGCCTCCTGAAGCACTGGGAAAAACCTTTCTCTTTAAAAGAAAGACATACTTGTTATTCATAAGAAAAAAGAAAGATTTTAAAACAAATATATCTTTACCTTATAATAAGTTGATGACATATATAAAGTATCTTACTAAAATGTTATAGTTTGACACAAAACTTAAAATAGTTGGACTTCAGATTCACACCATATTATGTTGAGCTCAGAATTTTTATCCATTTGCGTACAAACTAATGAAATATGAATAATTAAAGAATAGTTTGTACATTGTACTAAATTCAATGTCTCTAAAATTTTCCTGTGTTATTCGTTCTTAAATAAACTGAAATAAGCCAATAAACTTCGAACATTCCTGGCTACATTTTCAGATTTCTAAGATGTTTCTGAAGTCATCTTTCCTGATATAATTATATTGTAATAAAGTACCCATCATATCATAAATTGTTATTTTAATGATACTAACATAGGCATTTAATTATTAAGTAATCCTAAAGCTGACATTAAAATTACTATGAAATTGTTAGTTTCAAAATAGTAAATAAAACAACTTTTATATTTTTTAATGTTTTTATTATAGTTTCTTTGTACCAGTAATTATTGAAATATTCTAATAACTCAAAAATGATTTTAACTAAATAACTTCACTTTTAAAAGAAATCTAACAACTTAATTCAACCAAAGTAAATAACACCTTTTGTATTATTACTCCTAGATGTTGTTTAAGTCTTTAAAACAATTTCTAAAACTCCAAGTTTATTTAATTTTTTCTACAATGTGAAAGGTAAAGTCTCTTATCTAAAACCTGTAAAAAACAAGTTTAATATTGGTTTTTTAAAAGCCTTACTCTCAAATCTGGTTCTTGAACTGTTAATCGTAAAAATAGCATGACTATGTGAAAATACTAGATTGTTCTTTTAATTATAACTCTGAACTATATTGTAAATCCATTTGTTAGCTTTCTTCTTCTTTGTCATCTAATTCCATTTCTAGCACTTAGCATAGTGTGGAGAGAGTTTTAGGTCGTTAGTAAACAAAAGAATGAGCAAACTAATAGATGGGCATGAAAAGCACTAAATTTATGTCTTGCTGCTGTCATATAGTAGCTAAGATTCTGATCTCATCACATATGTGGACACACAAGCTTTCGCTAAGATATATACAGCATTGTTTGGTTTACAATATTCTTTTACCTATAGTATTGAAGTTGATGCTCAGAGGAGCTATGTGGAAATGGCCGGAAGGAAAATTATTATCCACAATTCATAATATAGAAAGGTGAAGGTAGGGCATTAAGCCTCAGTTTTATGTTGAATTGAGATGATATTATTTATAGCTGAACTGTGGAAAGGAGTCAGTAAGAATTTAGTATAAGGGTATTTGGTCCAAAATTGCTTTCTTCTGATCACATAAAAACATTTTTGTATAAATTTTTGTTTCCCTGGGATACCCTTGTCATATTAGGTATAAGGGCACAAGAGTCAGAATATTTATGTTAATCATATGCTGATTACCTGCATGACTTTCCCACCTGTATACTGTCCCTCAAAGAAAATCTCAAGAAGTAAAACAGAATTCTAAGGATAAAATGAAACAGCACAAGAAAATGTCATGTAAAGTAAAATACTCACAATGCTGAAATCATTTTTATTATTTGTTTTGTAACAAAATAATGTGGTTCAAATTCTTAGTTAATTGTCTGTGAGGTGTGTAGAACTTGGACTACCCTAAGGCTCAGTTTTATAAAATTTAAAAAGATATTTGCGTGACTATTTAAAAAGTATGAAATAATATGTAATGCTTTTAGATCCCATGGCAGTATTTGTACTCAATAAATAATAAAATAATAAAAATAAAAATAAAAATAAAAAACTCAACTATAATAGTTATTATACTTACATATAAGTACTAGAGTTTTTATTGTTGTTACTGTGCTGAATGGAAGAGGACAATAGCAAAAATAGGAGGGAGAAAAATACCCTCTCCTGTCTCCTATTTAGGTTGATAAAAGTGCCACCCCTCCTTCATAGGATTTAGATGAAATTGAAAATACAAAATATTACAAGATTAACAATTCTGGTTTTCCTGCTGGAGTATCTCCAGTATTGACAGATAAGGCTAACTTTTCATCCAGCCCATCTGATGATATTGACTTTCACTACCATCTGCATTGCCAGTGATTATGCTCACCTAAATGAATTACTTTAGATATAATTATCAGGTCCCCAAGACATCGAATAAAACCTCCACTGGTGACATTTCAAATGATGACAGTGTGTTTTCTCATAATATATCAATCCAGAGACCACCTAAAAATTATCTTTGTCTTTGGGTTAATGGTAAAAAGCAAATAAATAAACAAGAACAATTATACTAAAAGGTTGCCATGAATTGTTCACATTTTTCATTTTAAAGGGTAAATAGTAAAGAAAGAATAAAGACATATTTTTAATCCAATTAATCATTCCATATCTAATGTTGTAGACCAAACAACAGGACATGCCTAAACATTTCAAAGTAGAAATAGCATAGTTATATTCAATTCACTATAAAATGACAAACATTCATTGAACATTGGCTTTGAATAGCATGTGGAAATAATGGTATAAGGATGAGTAAGATTGTCTATTGGAGAAGACACATGTACAAATAGAATATGACATCTAATTTAAGTGGTTTAAAAACATTTTGCTATAGAAACCCAGAGATGAAATATTAAAATTCAACAAAAGCCCCACTAATAAGTAACATGAGGCTAAATGTCAAAAGAAGGGCAGAAATTGTCCAGAAATAAAATCTCCAACTGGAAGGAAAGTGTACTCAGTAGTTAAAGAAATAGAAACGGCACAAACTCAGGTTACAGGAAGACATAAGAAATTGGGTGTTGCAGCAATATACTGGAAAAGCTGGAGAAAAAGGAGTATGTTCAAAGATAAAACAAGCATGGATTGGAGACAGAACCAGTAGGTTGGTGGTAAATTAAAGAGTGTTCATTTGATCCAGAGGTAGTTTGCAAAGGCAACCATGTTCCAGGCCCTAGGATAAATGTGTTATGTTTAATATTGTTTATTCTCACAACTGTATATGGTAGGTAGTGTTGTCACCTCTTTTTCAGATGGAGAAATCAAGGCAAAGGGAGCTAAGTAAGTTAGTCAAAGTCACACAGCTTGTAGATAGTGGAGTTGGGATTCAAACCTCAGTTTTCTAAGACTTTAGGCTTTTTAACTGTGTCCTGTTGCTTTTCTCTACTGATTGTCCTTTTCTGTCACTTACCATTCATTTGTTAGCCTTTTTACTGGCTTCTCATTCCCCATCTTATTTGTTCCTTAAATATTATGGTTGTCCAGAATTCCATTTTTGTAAAACTGAAAAGAAACATATGAGTTCTATAGTAACTTTCTTTGAAATTATACAAGCTTTGTACTTAGAAACAAAACAATGTGGGAAAAAAATTTGAATACCTTCAGAGCATCATGATTTGATTAGTGGGCACACACTAAATTGTAAGATAAAATGCAGAAAAGTAGGTAAATAGCCTATAGGTACACATCAAACTGTTTAATTAGTGAGAGAATAAAATGATTAAAAATTAAAATTACTTAAGCAAGTTCTCAGGCAAATTCTCATTTCTATTTCTTTCTTAACGAGTCTTTAATTAGCTGAAATTACATTAGGGAAGTTTCATGCCTTCTATATTTTTGCCAATATGTGAAGTACCCTCTTTATTCACAAATGATGGGTGTAAGTGGATAATGAAACGTATTCCTCAGGAGAAAGGGAAATTGCAGTCAATTTAGTATTATTGAATATCAACTTGTGTATATTTTTGGCTGAACAAAATTAAAGTCAACAGCCAGCAAGGGAAAATTTGGTTAGAAATATTTTATGTTATGTTTGTTTTCCACAATTTCTTACAAAATACTTTGGAGGGAGAAATATAAAATGATTTTATTATAAAGATTTAATGTATCTTTGTAACATTACAACAAACAAAAGAATTACCTCAAACTCACATTAAAATTTTCACCCTCCAAACTGTAAAATAAACACTAGCTTAAAATTATGGAATAAATTCATCTTTCATTTCAGAATCAACTTATATGCTAGCTTTTTCATGGTTTATGAGAAACTATTATATAATTTTCTTTTTTTAAAATTATGTTTTATTGCCCTTTTTAAAACTTTTATTTTAAGTTCGGGGGTATAAGTGCAGGTTTGTTACATAGGTAAACTTTTGTTATGGGGTTTTTTGTACAGATTATTTCATCACCCAGGTATTAAGCCTAGCACCCATTGGTTATTCTTTCTGATCGTTTCCTTTCTCTCACCCTTCATCCTCTGAAAGGTTTCACTTTGTATAGTTCCCCTCCATGTGCTCATGTATTCTCATTATTTAGTCCCAGTTATAAGTGATAACATGTGGTATTCGGTTTTCTGTTCCAGTGTTAGTTTGCCAAGAATAATGGCCTCCAGCTCCATCCATGTCCCTACAAAGGACATGATCTTTTTCTTTTTTATTGCATAGTATTCTATGGTGTATATGGACCACATTGTCTTTATCAAGTCTAACATCGATGGGCATTCAGGTTGATTCACTGTCTTTGCTATTGTGAATGGTGCTGCAGTGAATATGCACATGTGTGTGACTTTATAATAGAACGATTTATATTCCTTTGGGTATATACCCCATAATGGGATTGCTGGGTAGAATGGTATCTCTATCTTTAGGTCTTTGAGGAATCACCTCACTGTCTTCCATAATGGTCAAACTAATTTATACTCCCACTAACAGTGTATAAGCATTCCTTTTTCTCCCCAACCTCACAAGCATCTTTTATTTTTGACATTTTAACAATAGCCATTCCGACTGGTGTGAGATGGTATCTCATTGTGGTTTTGATTTGCATTTCTCTAATGATCGGTGGTGTCGAGCTTTTTTTATATGATTGTTGGTCATATGTATGTCTTCTTTTGAGAAGTGCCTGTTCATGTCCTTTACTCATTTTTGAATGGTATTGTTTGTTGGTTTTCTTGTAAATTTCTTTAAGTTCCTTATAGATGCTGGACGCTAGACTTTTGTTAGATGTATAATTTGCAAAAATATTCTCCCATTCTGTAAGTTGTCTGTTTATTCTGTTGATAGTTTCTTTTGCTGTGCAGAAGCTTTTTAGTTTCATTAGATCCTATTAGTCAATTTTTACTTTTGGTGCCATTGCTTTTGGTGTCTTTGTCATGAAATCTTTGCCCATTCCTATGTCCAGGATGGTACTCTGTAGGTTGTCTTCCAGGGTTTTTATAGCTTGGGGTTTTACATTTAAGTCTTTAATCCATCTCGAGTTGATTTTTTGTATATGATGTAAGGAAGGGGTCCAGCTTCAACCTTCTGCATATGACTAGTCAGTTATCCCAGCACTATTTATTGAATAGGTAGTCTTTTCCCCATTGCTTGTTTTTGTCAGCATTGTCAAAGAACGTATGGTCTTAGATGTTTGGCCTTATTTCTGGGCTATCTATTCTGTTCCATTGGTCTATGTGTCTGTTTTTGTACCAGTACCATGCTGTTTTGGTTAATGTAGGCCTGCAGTATAGTTTGAAGTCAGGTAGTGTGGTGCCTCCAGCTTTGTTCTTTTTGCTTAGGATTGCCTGGTATATCTGGGCTCTTTTTTGGTTATATATGAATTTTAAAATGGCTTTCTCTAGTTCTGTGAAATATCAATGGTAGTTTAATAGGAATGGCATTCAATCTATAAATTACTTTGGCAGTATGGCCATTTTTTAATGATATTGACTCTTTCTATCCATGATCATGGAATGTTTTTTTCATTTGTTTGTGTCAATGAGATAATTTTCAAAGTATTAATTATTTTGTGCTCATTATTAAATACGAGCATAATAGAATAGGTCAATCTTTTCTAAAATAAAACTTAAGGAGGAAATAAAAATACCCAAAGTGCTTGCAATTCTTAAAGTAACTTTTGTTTCTAAATAAAATATAGAGAAACTCTGTGGTCTAGGTTATCTCAATATTTGTCATTTTTACAAGCATAATAAAAAATTATGTTATTTATAGTTGTGGTTGTGTAAAACAGGACCTGTTTTTATAAACCCCAGTCAGTATCCTTAAAATTTTATGGGTTAATAAATATAGTACTTGCCTTTTAAATTTAAGTGTAAAACACTTGAAGTTATGAGAAAAAAAGTTATCACTACTATCATAAGAGACTGATATATATGAAACCAAAGAGTAAGTAGTGAAAGAACTAAAATTCTGAAAATATTTTTATTATAAGAAAGCTGCTTTTGTCATAAATTAAATTTGTATTTAGCGGTACTATAGAAAACAGCCAAACAGTTAGGAGATAAGACATCTTTCATGTTTTATTTTAATATGGAAAAAGAAAAGATAAAGTAAGAGCTAATGATCAGGAATGTGATGTCAGCCTTTAACACTTTCAAATGGATTAAATTCCTGGTTGAATATTAAGTGAGAAGGAATAAAACAAGTATCTAGTGCATACGACATTCAACACATTTGGTATGCCTTTAATATGCATTATCCCATTTAGTATGAACACTTTGGCTTAAGAAGTATTGTCATTCCAACTTTATAGATGAGAAAATGGAGCATCTCAAAAAGTTTGACAAATTGCCTAAAATCTAATAGATAGGAAGATACAAAGTCAACATTTAACCTCAGAACTCTGATGCCAATGGCCAGTCCTCTAGGTTGTGACGGTTCCTCCATCTTTTCTAGATGCTGATAACTTTGATAATTTGAGAAAAATCAGTAAGGTGTTTTGCAGAATATCTCTGAGTTGATATTTGTCTGATGTTTTTCCATGGTAAGAGTAAGGGTTACAGATTTTTGGGAGGAAGAACATAGAGGTAAAGTACAATTCTCATCATATCAAAAATACTTATTATCAACAGGACTTATTACAGTTTTTGCTGATTTTCATCAACTGGCAGAGATTTTTCTATGTAACTACTCTTTTATTCTCCCATTCTGTAGTATACTCTTAGGAAGAAAGTCATTATGCACTTAAGGAGTGGGCAGTAATTATCCACCTCCTTAACAACAGCATATCTACACATAAATTATTTGGAATTCTTTTGTACAGATTTTTTTCCTCCATTTATTATCTATCTATCTACCTATCTATCTAATGATTTATTTGTATTAGTTGGATACTCATTTTAAGCTTTTGATTATAATTCATTATACTTTATTTTGTTGCTTAAATATATCCACTTTCATCATTAAGAGCTCTTTCAGATAAATTCTGTGCCCTATTGAAATACTCTCATGTTTGTTTTGCTTGTTTGTTTGTTTGTAGACCACTTCCTTTTTTTCTGGTATTACAAGATGTTTCAGGCTCATTTTACATATTTCCTTCCTCAGTCCTAAAATCAACCATTTCTCCAAGGATCCCTGGCTACTTTTATCAGAAAATGGTATTAGAAACCTAGATCTGGGCATGAAGTTTGCTCATTTCTAAGGAATATTGTTGCTTTTATGGTCTCTTAGTTGAGAGATCAAGGGAATATATGAGTGTATACTACTGTGTGTGTATATACACGCCTACAAATATTGCTGTATTTCACATCTATATCTATATTAAGCTAAACATGAGTTCATACTGATGTCTCCCAGTCTAATCTATTATCACATTGATATTCTACAACCTCCCATTCCAACAGTGAGACACCTGGCTCCGACTGTCAGCCATCCATTGACTTTATTCCTTAACGCCAGTTACACATGGATTGTGATTTCAGAATTGTTAGCCCACACCCACTTTGGACAAACTTTAACAATTATATTACAGAGTGTTTTTTTGTTTTGTTTTGTGTTTTGCCTTTAGCCTTACAGACTCCTTTCTTTCAAAAGTGACTTAGGGTCAAACCGTTTTTTCTCACCTCTTTTCCTGAATTTATTCTATACATTTGTAATATATTTCTGTTCGTCTGTCCTATTCTGCATTCCAACCTCCTGAATGAATTATTTGATTTGCATACATTAAGATTTACTCTTCATGCTTTAAATTCTATGCATTTTAGCAAATGCTTAATATTTTGTATTCATCATTACTGTATCATACAGGACAGTTTCACCAACCACCAAAAATCCTCTGTGCTTCCAATGTTCCAGCCTGTTCTCAAAACCCCTGGGAATCACTTACCATCCCTATTTTTTGTTTACTTTTTCCAGAATATCATATAATTGGAATTATATAGTACGTAGCTTTTCAGAATGGCTGTATTTCATATAATACATCTTAGAGATTCATCCATGTCTGTTCAACACTTGATAATTCATTTATTTTCCATTCAAACAATATTCCATTGTATGGATGTCAGTCTGTTTATCAATTTTTTTACTTTAAAGACCATCTTTGGTTGCCTTCAGTTTTTGGCGATTATGAATAAAGCTACTCTAAACAGCTGTGGGCAGCTATGTGCTGACAACTCATATCACCTCTCTCCCTCCTACAAGAATTTCCTTTGCCTTTTTTGCTCTCCTTTTGAAAATCACACCGTATCTGCTACAACCTGCCACCTTCACCCCACTTAACAAACTCCTGCACATCCTTTCTGTCTCATATACTCTTCATGTCCTCTCCAAATTCTTCCCCAACTTCTCCAGATAGTAGAGGTCTCTTACTTCTGTTATGGTTACAGAAAAACCATATCACTCTGATAGAATTATTCATCTGAGACAGCATTTAACATTTAATTGTATACATTTCCCTGACAAATTATGGGGCTACATAAGCATTTGTGGAATAAAAAAAACTAAAATATTAATGAAAGAAAATGATATAATACATATACTTATTCATATAGATATTGTCTATACATATAATTGAATAAACTATCAAGAGCATTAAGGATATGTGACAGTAGTCAATGCAGTTCTAAACTTATTAGATTTCAGAACAAATTTGAAAAATTCTAAATTATGAGATCCTTGTTATTCGATAAAAGGGATTTTTGGTTGATCAAGAAAGTAACTAAATTATTGAGTAATAAAGAAATTTATATTTAATTCACATAAAAGGAACATTGAGCTATATAATAAACATTATTATTAAAATTAATTTTTAAAGTTTTACAAAACATGTAGAAATATTCTTTATGACTACCTCACACATTATCTAAAGATAAGAGCCGATTATGTAATAACACATTCTAATTCTTTGTAGTTATATATGCAATGGTATATAAGGCAAAGGGCTTTTTTTTTTATTAAGTGTTGGTGGAACAGTGGTGGAAATATTTTTCTCTTAAAATAACTTTATATGTCCAATAACCAGAAAATACACCAAAGATTATTGCTTATCTAAATATTTTTTGAAGATTACACTTTGGTTTTTTTAGTTGTTCAATTATAAAAAACTTTGATTCTCTCAGATATTTGTTATTGTAAGCTTTGTTTTGTTTATTTTTATTTTTAATTTCTTTGGCTTTTTTTCTATAATTTTTTATTTTTAATTTTTGTGGGTACATAGAAGGTGGATACATTTATGGAGTACATGAGATATTTGATACAGGCATGCAATGTGTAATAATCACATCATGGAAAATGGAGTATCTATCCCCTCAAGTATTTCTCTTTCATGTTACAAACAATACAATTATACTTTTAGTAATTGTACAATGGTACTTTTAGTACTTTTAAAACATACAATTTACTGTAGTCACATCCTTGTGCTATCAAATACTAGGCCTTATACATTCATTTTAACTCTACTTTTGTACCCATTAACCATCCCCACTTTCCTTTTACCCCTCTACCACCCACTACCCTTCTTAGCCTCTGCTTACCAATCTTCTACTCTCTATCTCCAAGGGTTCAATAGTTTTGATTTTTAAATCCCACAAATAAGTGAGAACATGTAGTGTTTGTCTTTCTGTGCCTGCTATTTCGCTTAACATAATGAACTCCAGTTCATTATGAACGGAATGAACAATAGAATGGACTGAAGGGTGAGTTCTATTTACGTTGTTGCTTATCAAATGGTGAGAATTTCATTCTTTTTTTATGGCCAAATAGTACTTCATTGTGTAGGAGTACCACATTTTCTTTATCCAATCATCTGTTGATGGACACTTAGGCTTAATCCAATCATCTGTTGATGGCGATTGTGAACAGAGCTGCAACAAACATGGGAGTGCAGATATCTCTTCCACGAACTGATTTCTGTTATGGGGGATATAGTCCCAGTGGTGGAATTGCTGGGTCATATGGTAGCTCTATTTTTAGTCTTTTGAGGACCCTCCAAACCCTTCTCCAAAGTGGGTGTACTATTCACTCTCTCACCAATAGCATACAAGGGTTGCCTTTTCTCCACATCCTCACCAGCATTTGTTACTGCCTGTCTTTTGGATATAAGCCATTTTAACTGGGGTGAGATGATATCTGATTGTAGTTTGATTTGCATTTCTCTAATGATCAGTGACGTAGAGCACCTTTTCATGTGTTGCTTTGCCATTTTTATGTATTCGTTTGAGAAATGTATATTCAAATGTTTTGCCCATTTTAAAATTAGATTATTAGATTTTTTTCCTATAGAGTTGTTTGAGCTCCTTATATACTCTAGTTATTAATCCTTTGTCAGATGGGTAGTTTGAAAATATTTACTTCCAACCTGTGGGTTGTCTGTTTACTTTGTTGGTTGTTTCCTTTACCTTGCAGGAGCTTTTTAACTTGATATGATCCCATTTGTCTATTTTTGCTTTGGTTGTCTGTGTTTTGGGGGTATTACTCAAAAAATCTTTTCCAGACAGTTGACCTAGAGAGCTTCCCTAATGTTTTCTTGTAGTAGTTTAATAGTTTGAGGTCTTAAATTTAAGTCTTTGATCCATTTTGATTTGAATTTTGTATATGGTCAGAGATAGGGATCTAGTTTCATTGTTCTGCATATTGATATCCAGTTCACCTAGCACCATTTACTGAAGACACTGTCTTTTCCCTAAGGTATGTTCTTGGTACCTTTGTCAGAAATGAATTCACTGTAGGTATGTGGATTTGTTCATGGGTTCTCTATTCTGTTCCATTGATGTATGTGTCTGTTTTATGCCAGTACAATATCATGTTATTTTGGTTACTATACCTCTGTAGTATAATTTGAAGTCAGGTAATGTGCTTCATCCAGTTTTGTTCTTTTTGCTTAGGATAGCTTTGGTTGTTCTGTACTTTTGTGGTTCCATATAAATTTTAGAATTTCAAAATATTTCTGTGAATAATGTCATGGGTGTTTTGGTAGGTACTGCATTGAATCTGTAGATTGCTGTGGGTAGTATGGACATTTTAACAATATTGATTCTTCCAATCCGTGAACATGAGCTATATTTCCGTTGTGGGGTGTCCTCTTCAATTCTTTCATCAGTGTTTTATAGTTTTCATTATGGAGGTTTTTTTCCTTCTTTAGTTAACTTAATGCCTAGATGTTTAACTTTACTTGTTGCTACTGTAAATGGCACTACTTTTTTTTCAGTTTACTGTTAGCATATAGAAATTCTATTGATTTTTGTATATTGATTTTCTATCCTGCAACTTTACTGAATTTGTTTATGAGTTCTAATAGATTTTTGGTGGAGTCTGTAGGTTTTTTCACGTTTAAGATTGTATTATGTGCAAACAAGGATAATCTGATTTCTTTCTTTCAAATTTGGACGCACTTTATATATTTCTTTTGTCTGGTTGCTCTAACTAGGGTGTCCAGTACTGTAGGGAATAACAGTGATCATAGTGAGGATTGTTGTCATGTTCCAGATCTTAGAAGAAAGGCTTTTAGTATTTCCCCATTCAGTATGATACTAGCTGTAAATCTGTCCTATGTGGCTTTTATTATGTTGAGGTGTGTTCCTTCTATCCCCAGTTTTTTAAGCATTTTTAACATGAAGCGATATTGAATTTTATCAAATGCTTTTTATAGTACCAATTAAAATGATCATATGGTTTTTGTCCTACATTCTGTTGATCTGATGTATTACATTGATTAATTTGCATATGTTGAACTATGTTTGCATCCCAGGGGTAAATTCTGCTTGATCATAATGAACAGTATCTTTAATGTATTGTTGAATTTGGTTTGCTAATATTTTGTTAAGGGTTTTTGCATCAATATTAATCAGGGATATTGACCTATAGTTTTGTTGTTGTTTTTAAATTTGTTTTTGTCTCATTATGATATCAGGATAATACTGACATCGTAGAATACTTTTGAAGCATTCCCTCCTCCTCTAGTTTCTGGAATAGTTTGAGTAGGATTGGTATTAGTTCTTTAAATGTTTGGTAGAATTCAGCAGTGAAGCCACTGGATTCTGAGCTTTTCTTTACTGGGAGACTTTATTACAGCTCTGATCTTGTTAATTCTTGTGGGTCTGTTCGGGTTTTGGATTTCTCTGTAGTTCAATTTGGTAGGTTGTATGTGTCAAGGAATTTGTCCATTTCTTCTAGATTTTTCAATTTATTGGCATATAGTTACTCATAGTAGCCACTAATGATCCTTTGAATTCCTGTGGTATCAACTGTCATGTCTCCTGTTTCATCACTGATTTTATTTATTCTAATCTTTCCTTTTTTTTTTCTGTCTTAGTCTGGCTAAAAGTTTGTCTATTTTGTTAAACTTCTTTTTTTTTTTTTTTTGAGATGGAGTCTTGCTCTGTCACCCAGGCTGGAGTGCAGTGGCGGGATTCCAGCTCACTGCAAGCTCCACCTCCCGGGTTCACGCCATTCTCCTGCCTTAGCCTCCCAAGTAGCTGGGACTACAGGCGCCTACCACCATGCCTGGCTAATTTTTTGTAGTAGAGATGGGGTCTCACCATGTTAGCCAGGATGGTCTCAATCTCCTGACCTCGTGATCTGCCTGCCTCAACCTTCCAAACTGCTGGGATTACAGGCATAAGCCACCACGCCTGGCTTGTTTAACTTTCGATAAGCCAACTTTTTGATTCATTGATCTTTTGTATTATTTTCATTTATTTCTGTTCTCATTTTATCATTTTTTTTCTTCTACAAATTTTGGGTGGGTTTACTCTTCCTTATCTAATACTTTAAGATGCATTGGGAGATTGTTATTTGAAGTTTTTCTCCTTTTTGATGTGAGCACTTACAGCTTTTAAATTACCTCTTATTGCTGCTTTTGCTCTGTCCCATAGGTTTTGTTATGTTTGGTTTCCATTATCATTTGTTTCAAAAAATTTTTCAATTTTCTCCTTAATTTCTTTATGGACCCACTAGTCGTTCAGGAGCATATTGTTTAATTTCCATATAGTCCTATAGTTTTCAAAATTCCTCTTGTTATTGATTTCTAGTTTTATTCCATAGTAGTTAGAGAAGATCCTTAATATTATTTCAATTTTTTGAATGTTTTAAGACTTGTTTTGTGACTTAACATATGGGCTGTCCTTGATGATGATCCATGTGCTGAGGAGAATAATGTGTATTCTGCAGTTCTTGGATGAAAAGTTTTATAAGTATCTATTATGTCCATTTTGTCTATAGTCAAGATTAAGTCTGATGTTTCTTTGTTGATTTTCTGTCTAGAAGATTTGTCCAATGCTAAAAGTGGGGTGTTTAAGTCTCCAACTATCATTGTATTGGAGTCTATCTCTGTATTTAGCTCTAAAAATATTGGCTTTATATACCTGGGTGCTCTAGTATCGGGTGCATATATATTTAAAATTTTTATATCCTCTTGCTGAATTGATCCCTTAATCATTATATAGGGACCTTCTTAGTGTCTTCTTATATAATTTGTCTTGAAATCTATTTTGTGTTGCATTAGTATAGCTGTTTCTGCTTTTTTTTGGTTTCTATTGTCATGGAATTTATTTTTTCATCCGTTTATTTTCAGACTATGTGTGTATTTATAAGTTAAGTTTATTTCTTATAGGCAACAGATCAATGGTTTTTTTTTTTCTTTATTCAGCTTTTGATAGAAAAATTTAGTCCATTTACATTCAATGTTAATTTTGATAGGTAGGTAAGGACCTACTCCTACAATTTTGTTTTTTGTTTTCTGGTTGTTTTGTGGTCTTCTCTTTTTTTGTTCTTTGTTTTCTGTATTTCTTTTAGTGAAGGTGATTTTCTTTGGTGCTATGACTTAGTTTCTTGCTTTTTATTTTTTTCTGTATCCATTATATATTTTTTGGTTTCAGGTTACCATGAGGCTTTCAAACACTATCTTATAACCCATTATTTAAGTTAATAACAACTTAACACTATTTGCATAAAGGAACAAGCTAAAACAAGGCTAGTAAAGACTGTATGCCTTAACTTCATCCTTGTGCTTTTTAACTTTTTGTTACTATTTACATCTTATTGTACTGTCTGTCTTAAAACGTTGTCATAGTTTTTATTTTTTATTGGTCACCACAGTTACAATGTCATAGTGTTCTGTGGTTTTTTGAGATACTTACTATTACCAGTGAGTTTTGTACCTTCAGATGATTTCTTATTGCTCATTAATGTTCTTCTCTCTCTTATTGAAGTACTCCCTTTAGCATTTCTTATAGGACAGGTCTGGTGTTGATGAAATCCTTCAGCTCTTGTTTGTCTAGGAAAGCCTTTATGTCTCTCTCATGTTTGAAGGATAATTTCACCGAATATACTATTCTAAGGTAAAACTTTTTTTTTCCTTTAGAACTTTAAATATGTGATGCCACTCTCTCCTAGCCTGTAAGGTTTCCACTGAAAAGCCTGCTACCAGATGTATTGGAGCTCCATTGTCTGTCATTTGTTTCTTTTCTCTTGCTGCTTTAAGGATCATTTCTTTATTCTTGACCTTTGGGATTTTAATTATTAAATTTCTTGAGGTAGGCTTCTTTGAGTTAAATCTGCTTGGTGTTTTATAACCTTGCACTTGACTATTGGTATCTCTAGATTTAGGAAGTTATTATCCCTTTGACTAACATTCTATCCCTCTTTTTCTACCTTCTCTTTGAAGACAGTAACTCTTAGGTTTGCCTTTTTGAGGTTATTTTCTAGATCCTATAGCTGTGCTTCATTGTTTTAGTTATTTATTCTTATCTCTCTTCTTTGTGTATTTTCAAGCAACCTCTTCAAGCTCACTAATTCTTTCTTCTGCTTGATCGTTTCTTCTATTAAAGGACTCTGATATATTCTTCAGTATGCCAATTGCATTTTTCACCTACAGGATTTCTGCTTGATTTTTAAAAATTATTTCAATCTCTTTGTTAAATTTACCTGATAGAATTCTGAATTCCTGGCCGGGCGCGGTGGCTCACGCCTGTAATCCCAGCACTTTGGGAGGCCGAGGCGGGTGGATCATGAGGTCAGGAGATCGAGACCATCCTGGCTAACAAGGTGAAACCCCGTCTCTACTAAAAATACAAAAAATTAGCCGGGCGCGGTGGCGGGCGCCTGTAGTCCCGGCTACTCGGGAGGCTGAGGCAGGAGAATGGCGTGAACCCGGGAAGCGGAGCTTGCAGTGAGCCGAGATTGCGCCACTGCAGTCCGCAGTCCGGCCTGGGCAACAGAGCGAGACTCCGTCTCAAAAAAAAAAAAAAAAAAAAAAAAAAAAAAAAAAAAAGAATTCTGAATTCCTTTGGTGTGTTATCTCGAATGGCTTGGAGTTTCCTCAACACAGCTATTTTGAATTCTCGGTGTGGAAGCTCACATATCTCTGTTTCTCTAGGATTGGTCCCTAGTCCTTTATTTAGTTCACTTGGTGAGGTTATGTTTTCCTGGCTTGTCTTGATACTTCTAGATGTTTACCTGTTTCTACGCATTGGAGAGTTAGATATATATTGTAGTATTCACAATCTGGGCTTATTTGCACTCATCCTTCCTGGGAAGGCCTACCAGATATTCAAAAAGGCTTGGGAATTGTGATCTAATCTGTATCTGCTTGAAGGGGCACCCCAAGCCCAATAATGCTGTGGTTCTTATAGACTCATAGAGGTACCACCTTGATGGTCTTGGATAAGAGCCAGAAGAATTCTCTGGATTACCAAACAGACATTCTTGTTCTTTTCCCATACTTTGTCCCAAACAGAGTCTCTCTCTCTCTCTCTCTGTTCTGAGCCATCTGGAGCTAGGGGTTGAGTGACACAAGCTCCCCTGTGGCCACTGCTCCTAGGACTGCACTGGGTCAGATCTTAAGCCAGCACGGTATTGAGTCTCACCCAAGGCTTGCTGCAACTACTCCCTAACTACTGCCTATGCTCATTCAAAGCCCTGGGGCTCTACAATCAGCGGGTGGCCAAGCCAGCCAGTCCTATGTCCTTCCCTTTAAAAGGTGAGTTCTCCCAGGACTTGGACAGGTCCAGAGGTGCTATCTGGGAGCCAGGGACTATAGCCAAAAACCTTAGAAGTTTACCTGGTGTTCTGTTGTACTGCAGCTGATCTAGCATTCAGATCATAAGACACAGCTTTTTTCCGCTCTTCTCTCCCATTTTCAAAGGCAGAGGAGCTTCATACTGTGACCACTGCCACATCAGACTCATCGGGAGTACTGCCAGAATACTGCAGATATTCCCTTATGGCCCAAGGGCTCTTTATTCAGCTTGAGGTCTGTCTAGCCTGGGACTCACCCTTCAGGGAAGTGGGCTCACCTCTGGCCCAAGGTAGGTCCAAAAATGCCATCCAATAGCCATGTCCTAGAATCGGGAACCCCAAGAGCCTGTTTGGTGTTCTATCCCCCTGTGGCCAAGCGAGTACCTAACATGAAAGAAAAAGTCCACTTTACTTTTTTCCCTCTGATTTTCTCGAGCAATAGTAGTTTTGCCCCATAGCCACCACATCTGGGAATGTGCTGATTCCCATCTGAAACCGGCAAATCTCAGAGTCTCATGAAAAGCCCTAAACATAGTTATCTGGGTATTACTGCTGGTTATTCAGGGCCCAAGGGCTCTTCAGTTAGAAACTGATGAATCCTGACAGGCCTAGTGCTTCTATTCAAATCAGCGGGTTCCCTTCTGGCTCAGGGTGTGTCTAGAAATGTCATCTGCGATCTAGGGCCTGGAAAAGGGATGTCACAGCTCTGACTAGTGCCCTGTCCTGCTGTGGCTGAGCTGGTATCCAAGATGCAAGGCAAAGTCCTTCCACTCTTCTGTCTCCTCTCCTAAAGTGGAAGGAAGGGGTCTCTTTCGGAGCCGTGAGCTGTGCAGTTTGAGGTTAGGAGAGGGGTGAGACAAGTACTCCCTTAGCCATCCCAGCTGGTGTCTCAGTAGGTCATGTCCCTCTATCCCCCAACTCAACTGGCTCTTGGTCCAGTTCAGCACTAGGACTCACCTAGGTGTTACAGTTCTTGTGGCCTAAACTGCCTTTCAAGGTTATCTGGGGCCCCAGTGGCCTTTAGCTTGTAGTGGCAAGGCTTGTGGGAATTCAAGTTCTGACTGTTAGAATCTGTAACTCCCCCCTCACTAGGACTCATTTGAGTGCTCTCTTTATGGGCAGGCATCAGGGGAGTTTGGTCTAGTTTTGCTTTCTTCTATAACAAGGGCAGCACTGAGTTCAGTGCCTCATAATCACTGACTCTCCATCTCCATAGGGCACAAAAATACTCTCTGCATCATGCTTCCACTACCCAGGGATTGGAGAAGTGTGACATCGGTGATTCGGAACTGTTTTTTCTACCTGTTCAGTGCCTCTTTCAGTGATATGAAGTTAAAACCAGGTATTGTGAGTGCTCACCTTATTTTTGGTTCTTACAAAGGTGCTTTTTTCTGTAGATAGTCATTAAATTAGTGTCCTTGGCAGGGCAGGTGGGGAGCAATATTTGTTGGACCCTTCTATTCCACCACCATCTTGCTGCAGCCCTCCTTTTAATTTCACTGGCGTTTTTGCAGGCTTCTTTTTTAAAAAGTATCATTGTTATTATTATTAGATACAAGAGACTGTGTATTACTCTGTTGCCCAGGCTGGAGTGCAGTGGTGCGATCATAGCTCACTGCAGCCTGGAACTTCCACCTCAGCCTTCTGAGTGGCTAGGACTACCAGCACATGCCACTACACCAGGCTACCAAAAAAAAAAAAAAAAGAAAGAAAGAAAGAAAGAAGAGAGAGAAAGAAAGGAAGGAAAGAAAAAGAAAGAAAGAAAGAAAGAGAAAGAAAGAAAGAAAGAAAGAAAGAAAGAAAGAAAGAAAGAAAGAAAGAAAGAAAGTTAGTTCATAGAAATTGGAGTCTCAATATGTTGCCTGGGCTGACCTCAAAATCCTGACCGCAAGGCATCCTCCTGCCTCGGCCTCCCAAAGTGCTGAGATTAATGCAGGCTTCTTTATATGTGTAAACATCCCTTTTAAATTATAAATGTAAATATTTAGAAAACATTATCTTGCCCCATAAATTAATAAGTTTATACACTTTTTCAGATTTAACCTCCAAAAAAATAAAAATCTGTATCTTAAATGAACTTGGCCACCCAATTAAATTTGAGTCAGAGCCTGCCTACTTTAATTAACAAAGAAAAATATACTGTGTAGTTTTACATAAAACAATGGTTGACTGAATAATAATAGGTAATCTTTAACTATTTTGGGCATGACCATCTGTTGTTAAGATCATTTTAAATCATGTATTCTTATAATAATCTGCAAAATAAATCCCAAGTCAACTTTCTCTCTTGGTGAAACATCATTTGTGATTTTCAACAGTCAGCCTGTTTTGTGATTCTGTTTATTGGAATTTCTGATTCTAATAGTAGTGAATTAGTTTGTTGTAAGTAATCTAATTATGTGGCCATTCTTACTTGTTGAAATAATGTAGTTGATATTTCTAATAATTTTAATTACTTTAGTTCAAAAAAGAGTTATTAGTCACTATCTTTAAAAGGCACTGCCGGCCAGGCACGATGGCTCAGGCCCGTAATCCCAGCACTTTGGGAGGCCATGGTGGGTGGATCACGAGGTCAGGAGATCGAGACCATCCAAGCTAACACGGTGAAACCGCATCTCTACTAAAAATACAAAAGAAAAATTAACCAGGCATGGTGGCAGGCGCCTGTGGTCCCAGCTACTCAGGAGGATGAGAAAGGAGAATGGCGTGAACCCGGGAGATGGAGCTTGCAGCAAGCAAAGCCCGTGCTACTGCACTCCAGCCTGGGCGACAACAGAGCGAGATTCCGTCTCAAAAATAAAAAAATAAATAAATAAAGGCACTGACAAAAATGTTTTTATTCTGATACAAAACTTTTTGAGAGGTTAAAGATCATCTGTAAACAGATAAAAATAAATCATGAATTAATACGTTGGTGATTTTTGTTGAGAAGTGGTGATGATGAAGAAACAAAGGCTTTGTGAAATATGCAAGACTGGGTAAAACAAGGAGAGAAAAATAGTATAGCAATAGTTATTAGAATGATGGAACCGAGTGAACTCGTTGAATTGCTTAGAGGTCATTGCAGCCATCAAGTGTGGGTTGCATTTTACTAGTATGGCAAAATGACCTAATAATTGAACCAAAAATTGAAGTTAATTTGTAAGAATTATGTGACTACTTAGTAGAAGAAAAAGGATGTGATATTGGGAAAGGAAAGCTTAATAATAAATTGTCATTAAGACACAAAGTCAACTATCATTTATTGTTACTATATTCCAATTTCTGTGCTAGGCACTTACACTTACCATCGCAAGTTGCTCTCAGGTTATTCATTTATCCAACATGCAATAAGTTTCTGGGAGTTATAAGGTGTTTTGCCAGGGATATGATAATTAATATCATAACCTTGTTGGAGGCTTAGTTTGCAAAACATATTTATAAGATGATTATCAAAAAAAGAATGATTAATGACTTGATAGAAGAGTACAAATAGTGGTGAATTATAGGAAAAAGAAATACACTCCGTTTAGCTTGTATTTTAGTTTCCTAGCTAGAAAATGAAAGAGCTAAAATTTAAGTTCAATACACAAGCTATGCAGCCTTGTTTTCTTTATCTCAATTTATAAAATTATAAGAAGGTCCTTTGCAATTTGTAGAAGAACTGACACGGTTAAGGAAATAGGTGAAAACAAGGACAAGAATTAACTTACAGGAGAAAAATGCACATACCTTTCCTTGTTTTCATAAAAGACTGGCAAGCTAGATCCATATTGCCAGAGCCATGAAAGACTGTTCTAAATAACATGCTAGATGCCTGATGTGAGTCCAAACTGTGGAACAAAAGGTTTCTAAATGTATTTTTTTTGCAAGTATTTATTCTTGATGATTAAAGGGACCCAAAACCAGAGAAGAAGAGAGAGAGAGAGAAATAGCTAAACAGCTGTAAATTTATCCAGAAAGTACTACTCAAATTCTCCTTGATTTTCCCTGGGCAACAATCAGCAAACTTTTCATTAGAAGGAACTTTAAAAGGTTTGCTGATTTGCAAAACATGGCATGAATAATGTGTACATTACTTGCATAATTGGTTTTGTGCGTACATATGGCACATGCTATTTTGGAAATGTACCCCCTCTGTGTTCATTATAGCTGTTGCTCACTCTATTCCCTGATAATCATTTATAGTTACTTGTCACAGTTTATTATTAGAAAATTAATGAATCAGCAGTTTTGTGCACTCTCCTTTAACAACCTAATCTTAGAAGTTTCCAAACCACAGTATACAGTAATAGAAAGCAAGTAGATTTCCCAAATTTATTTGCGTATATTGAGCTGCGCATTTTACAGAGATTATCTGAACTTTCATAAATAAAACTTTCATTATTCTTTATGAATTGTTCTATTACATTCACAGAAAACATTTTATGAAATAAAGTTAATCAATAAATCTATATTGGTAACATGTTTATTTTCACATATTTTCTAATTTTTACATAGCTTAAGTTTTTCCCTTGTCTGTTGAAATTTCCACAATATATAATTACAATTTTTCAGTTGAGGAAGCCAGAAATCAGACAGAAAAGAGGGCCAAGAGCAGTAGCTCACACCTGCAATCCCAGCACTTTGGGAGGCCACAGACAGATTGCTTGAGCCCAGGAGACCAGCCTGGGCAACATGGTGAAACCCCATATCCACAAAAAAATATGAAAATTATATGGGTGTGGTGGTGCCCACCTGTAGTCCCAGCTATTTGGGAGACTGAGGAAGGAGGATGGCTTAAGCCTGGGAAATGGAGGTTGCAGCAAGCCAAGATCATGCTATTGTATTCCAGCCTGGATGACAGAATGAGACCTTGTCTCAAAAATAAATAAATAAATACAAAAAATTTTTTTAAAAAAATTAGAAAGAAGCTCTTTTTATCACAGCTCTTAGGGTTTTATGTGGCTTGGAGATGAGCCCAAGGAGAACTTCCACCCAGGAGACTCTTAATTTGACTGTTTCTACTTCAAATTACTCCTATTTGTAGCCTAGAGCCCAAGGAAATAGAATAGCATTTGCCCTTGCCAGCAAAGATCTGGATTATCAGACAAGGATTTTAAGCCATGCACTATTTGTTTAAAAATTTCTAAACTTAGCACTAAAGTCACTGTATAAACCCATGGAACTCCAGTTTCATTTCTTACATATGGTTGATTGGTAAAACAACCTGTAGACTCCACATAGACTAACGGAATAAATAACACATGCAATCCTATTTTGAATGTTTCATAAGACATTTATCTCCCACATATAGACCCTTAACTATGGGCCAGACAAGATATATTACTTTGAATTACTTTGACAAACTAAGAAGCATACCAGAATAAAAATAAAGAAATGGGGAAATGAAGCTTTTAAATAATATTATTCAAAATTATCTCAAATTATATTGTATTAAGATGTATCATAGATATGTAACATTTCCTTGTATGATTTTTATATAGAAGAAATATATTATTTGAACTTTCTTAAGAAGGCAAATGACAAAGTTTTCAGAGTTTATAGAATATTGTAGTATAATTCTAAGTAAGATACTGTACTGTACATTGGTGAGGGACAGGGAAAACAAAGGTGAATAGATAGTTTCTTATCCTCAAAATCCATTCAATATTTTTTGAATATGTTCTTTATACCAGCCACAAATGTGCCAATTCTAGGGAATATATATAAAGATCCCAACTTCAAGTTAATCAAAATCTGTAGTTTCCAAGTCTTCATACTAATAGCTAATTGGGAAGGCTGTTCAAACAATGAATACTATTTATCACTGTATCAATTTCACCATCTCATTGCTATCCTCACCTCCATCATCATCATCATCGTCATCATTGGACATGTTATATTTAGTACTATGCACCAGCTACTCTGTTAATAATTGTTGATATTTATTACACATAATCTTCACAATAATTCTAGGAAATAGATGCCACTTTAATCCTGTTTCACAGAGAAGGAAACAGCCTTGAAGAAATAATATAAAATTCCCGAGGTCGCCATGCCACACTCATTGTGAACTCAATTCTAGCTTTTCACCACAACGTTATAGTGCATTCTTTATCACTTGCTCTCTTTATGGAAGAGTTTGTATTGTATTATTGTTTCAACCCATAAATGAGGCTGTATTTTTGTTGCCCTTTTCTGTAGATGAATTAGTAAGTTTAAATTTGAATTAGAAGATCACCCTGCATCAATCAGAGCAGGGTGAATATAACTAATTTAATTGTTTTATTACCAGAGTACATCACCAAGCAGACATCAACAACAAATTGCACATTTGACTTTATGACTTTATTATAAACTGCAGCAGCATGTGGATTCTACGACCAATGACACAGCTTATCTCTTTGCACCTTGTTAACCTTTTATTTCACTGTTCTTTAAAGTGAGAACTCAGAAGTCAGAGCAGCATCTGTCTCTGCCATATCTTTGCAGGCAAATTAATCTACATCAAAGCACCCTGAAAAAAATACTTAGAGTCAAGTATTAACGGGGAAGGTATAATGTTAAAGAGAGCAAGGAAGAGGAAGATTAACTAGAACAGGCAATAAACACAAAAGCAAGGGACTTAGTCTGAAATATCTTGATATGTCAATGGGCAACTAACAGTGTGACAAGTTATCATTAAAGAATTCAGCAGGGCTGGGCACAGGGGCTCAGGCCTGTAATCCCAGCACTTTGGGAGGCTGAGATGGGCAGATTACTTGAGGTCAGGGGTTTGAGACCAGCCTAGCCTACATGGTGAAACACTGTCTCTACTAAAAATACAAAAATTAGCCAGGTGTGGTGGTGGGCACCTGTAATTCCAGCTACTTGGGAGGCTGACGCATGAGAATTGCTTGAATCCAGGAGGCAGAGGTTGCAGTGAGCTGAGATCATGCCACTTCACTCCAACGTGGGCAACAGAGAGGAACTCCATCTCAAAAAACAAAACAAAACAAAACAAAAACAAAAAAACAAAAACAAAAAAGATTTCACCAGAAATAACAAATCAGTAATCTTGTTTCAAAATTCGTTTTTTTCTCAGAAGTCTTTGTTGTAATGACACTTGAAACTACATACAATTCATGACTCTCTTATAGGTGTTTATAAAGTTGGGAAAAGTAACACAGTAAGAGACTTCACCATCTGCAAGTGAAAAAAATCCTTTTATTTATAATCTCAACTATTCTGCCAAAACCAGTGCTTTCTGTCTAGAATAAATTGATTTTTGCTTATGCATAAATTAAATGTCAACACATCTTTCACAAATCTACTTATGGCCAGCCAAAAACCAAGCTGTTGAGCTAGAAAACAAATTTAATACAGATAACTAGATATTCTATTTGTTCAACAAATAGATACAAAAGAAAGGAGCTTCAGTGATCCCAAGTTGTCAGTGTTAATTAGTTGATATTTGAAGAAAATTCCTGCCTCTTCCTCCTAAACCACTGTGGATCAGGAAACCTGTTATATATTATATTTCTGTCCAACTATGTCTTATAACGCATTAGTTCCAGCTGAACAAACGCTGAGAAAATAACAAAAATATACATTTCCATATTGCAATATTGATATCACTGTGTTAACACGTTTAATTTAAATTCTAGAAAGTTTTGAGCTGGGTGTGTTGGTGATGCTCTTTCTCTGCCCCATGGAAAGGGGATGTATGTGTATAGTTGTGCACACATGGATATTTAATAAGTGCCTGCTGAGTGCCAGAAACTCTTTTAAGCACTATGACCTGGAGATACAGCAGAAAATTATATACATATGTGTGTATGTATGCAGAATATATATAGAATATATATGTATAAGAATATATATATACATTCTTAACTTTACAAAGAAGTTCAGCAATGAACAAATACATATACAGTATGTCATGAGGTCAGGCTAGGCAGAAAAATAGAGCTATATAATCAGGGCAGATAGTGATAGGGGTATGGGAGGGATGTTTTGAGAAGTTCTCTCTGTTAAAATGACATCTGAGCAGGACCTGAATTATGGGAGAGACTAAGATGTGTGGATATCTGGGGGAAATTATTTCAAGCACAGAGAAGAGTGCCCAAAATCCTGAGACTAAAATAATCTTGCTATTCTGGAAGAATGGCAAGAAAGTCTTTGTGTCTGTCGTGAGTGACAGAGGAGAGAATGGCAGACAATCAAACGGGTGGTCAGAGTAAGGATACTGAATATAGTTTAACAAGGAAGGAAAGCATTTTGAGGATAGAATTTTCTGTGCTTTTTAGTTGCCTTTGGCTTCCTGTTATAAATATCTGAACTATTTTATTTTTTAAGAAAACTCCAGTAAAACAGGCAACTCAATATTGTAATTCTTGAAGTATTTGTTCTCATGGATTATTTCAACAAGGCATGCTAAAACACACTCTTTGGAATTATAGGCGTGAAAATGTGTGATATCTTTTCTTACCCATCATCCATCATAAGGGTCGTGGTGAGCATTCCTATAAACAAAAAGGAGGTTAACAGGAGCAAAGCACAACAGATTTATTTAATCAAAGTTTTACACAACACGTTGAACCTTCAGATTGAATAACCTAAAGGTACATGGGAAGCCATCTGATTTTCTTCTGAGGTTTAATGAAGCAGGGACAGTGAGTAGAAATGTGACTGGATAAAAAAAAAATGTGTGATCTAATAGTAGTCTAATAGTGTGAGGAAGAAAACCCAGCAAGGCTTGTCTGTTCAGCTTCTTCTTGGCCTCTCTGTGAGGCATTCTCTCCTTCCTTCTGGGTATGGGGCAGGGCCTCTCTGGAATGTGGGTCTTATAACCTATACCAGGTAAATCAGAAAATTTATTTATGGCCAGCTGTTATGCAGAAAAGAGGGGGAAAGTTAAAGTAATACTTTCAGGTTTTATGGCTGTCTTTGACGAAAGGGAGTTCTGGTTTCTATGACTCACATTGTGGGTGGGGGATTCTAGTTGTTTCTATGGCTAGCCTCTGGAGAAACTGAGGGGAGAGCAGGAGAGTGTCAAAGATAAACTTTGCTTCTGAGGCCTTCACTTTGTGATATCATTTTCTGGGCCCCAATAAGACCTAGCACCACCAAAATGTGAACTAATTAACAGATAGTCGTGCAATCATTCCTTTCCATTAACGTAACTTGCATAGCTCTTCAACACTTTAGAATGGTAGAGGGGGCATCAATATTATGAAGAAGGAAATTGAGTTCCACAGAAGTTGAATGATTTAATCCGAACTCAAAGAGTCAATTAATTCTGCTCTTGATTTTTCCAGTGTTTATTTATTTCAAAAACCTAAGTTAAGTTACACAAAACCGAACAATATAAGTAGCCTCAAAATAGTGCACTGTAGTCAGCTTGTACCTGATTTTCCATTTGTATGTGCATTTCTTCCCAACTTCAAGTTCAGTGGCAGCTCACTGGCAGCTTGGAGTTAGCCTTGGTGGGAGTATTTAGACCATGAATATTAGCAAATGCTATATAATTCAGGGTTTTATTTACTTATTTATTGGTGTTTCTTGGACAGCCTAATTACCAGCATACTGGAAATTACAAGTATGCAGGGTATTTTTTCAACATATATTATCTAAACTTTTACATAAAAAAGGAGCATTCTAATGCCTTTTTTTTTGAGACAAGGTTTTGTTCTGTCACCCAGGCTGACTGAGTACAGTGGCTCAATGACAGTTCAGGGGAGCCTCAAACTCCTGGGCTCAAGTAATCCTCCTGCCATAGCCTCCCCAGTAGCTAGGACTACAGGCAAGCATCACCATGCCTGGCTAATTTATTTTTATTTTCATGTTGGTGAGATGGGTTCTCAGTATGTTACCCAGGCTGGTCTCAAATTCCTGGCTTCAAGCAAACCTCCTGCTTAATCTCCCAAACTGCTGAGATTACAAGCATAAGCCATCATGCCCAGTCTCTAATACTACTGTCACAGGTGCAAGTATCTGGGGCCGGTGTCATGGGTGGTAAAGGAATTTACCAAGACAGTTGTAGGTAAAGAAAGATAGATTACAGGGAAAGTACATTGCAAGGTAGCAACGGGCATCATAACAGAGAAGGGGCTGTCTGCAAGGAGGCAGAGGCTGGAGGGAAGTTTTATAGGGTTGTGCTGGAAGGGGCTATGTGCAAAACAAGGTATTTGGGAAGGGGAGATTATGCCAGTGAATTGTTTGTAAATAGCTGTGTCTTAGAACAATTGTTCTCTCCCACTTGGGAGCTCTTCCTTGTTGTTACTTACTCATATCAGGACTCCACAACTACTTCTACTTTGCACTTGTACATTTTACTGAAAGTATCTGCTTATGAGGCTTTAAACTCCAAGAGGCAGAGACTGACCTATTTTTCTGTGTATCCAAACTAGAATTGAACAACAAACGCAAATTGACTTTAAAATCAATGACCTTCACAGATAAAGTGTCAATGAATTATTTTTTAAAATTAATTTTTAAATTACTGTTCAATCAAGTTAAAAAAACCCAACTTGGTCTAACTTGTCAAATAGCAGCGTGAATACATTTTATATCTTTCTATTATTTTTCAATAAGTTATTTTTATATTAGGTAGTCTTGGTCCAATATTAGTGTGATAATATGTAGATTAAACACACTCATTGGTTTGACAGGCAAAGCTTGATTTGTCAAAAATACACGGATTATTAAAACACATTTTTAATTAGACAGTGGTTATCTCAGGGAAGAAATTGCTAAGTATAAAATAATGACATAAGTGAATATGTTAATCTACACTTAGTATACAACAAAACACTATTCACAATGTACCGTCAACTTGGTGTGAATGTTAAGTTTTTGCTAGAAATGCACAAAAGATGTTTCATTAAGAGTTTGATTTCACTTTATTTGTAAATGTGTCTTAATAGACTTTATTATAGCCATTGTGTTGAGTTGAAGTGCTCAATTATTCCTACTATTTTATGTTAAATTGTACTATTATCTAGGAAAATAAAAGGCTGAGTTGAAGAATCTAATGCTTATTCAATTGTAAGTATTGTCCCATGAAAGCAGAGACTCTTCATTTCCATTCTTTTGTAAATTCATGGTGTCACAAGTAGGATTTTTATTTATTACTTTTAATCTTCAATAAACACAAATTATAAATCACATTCTTTGGATACTAAAACCATTACTAGCTATTGTTAGACTTAATAGACTTTATTGTCCCCATTTTGGTGAGTTGAAGCATTCAGTTGAGTGCAATGAGATGTATTCAATTGTGGTAACATTAGAAAAGTTTCATGTTTAAACGGTGATCTCTGAGAAGTTACTCTTGTAAATTTAAGTTATGCTGACTTGGACAACTCTTTTCAGATTTATGAATATATAGCCTTGGTCACAGAAGTAATTTAAACTGCTCAAGGTTTTTAAAGTATCTAATGCACTTCTCTTTTATTTCTGCTGGTTACAATACTGCTAGAAAAGTCAGCCTTGCTAAGGTTAATCCAAGATTACACTTGCAATTTCTGTGTAACTTCAATCAAAATAGTAGAGAAGAATATTGGGATAATTTCATGACTACATTGCTAAAAATAAATTACTTCTAGTTTTTAAATGGAAAAACAAAAAAATTTAAAGAACCAACATGAAAACAACAACTTTAAAAAAAAGGTATGAGTTATTCTTACTCTATGTGGAAAATAAATTATGTGAATAATTTTTGCTTGTTTTGGCACATTTCTTTAACTAGATCCATAGGCAAGAAAAGACAGTAAAACTCAAGTTGACATCAAGCCATTAAAGACCTGGAAAGAAGAGGGTGTTAAAAGCGCTCAAGTTCAGATAACATGTCCAAAGGGATAATTGATGCTGCAAATTTTTAATTGGATTTAATTGGATCCAAGAACATTTAATTGGATTATTTGATCTTTAGCTAAAATTACTTTTCTTTTTGGAAGTTTTCGGTACAGACAATGATTTCTGATTATTGAGACTAACCTGATGCACTTCATTTTGGAAACCATTTCAACTGTCATTAAAAAGACTTGTTTGGGGTTTCTTTCTTCCCATGGCTCTAATGTAATTGACAAGTGCCTTTTCAGTAAATTACACTCATTACCTGTTCTACTTACTCTTGCTAGTTATTTTTCTTAAGTATCTGTCGAATCATGTCGTGATCCTGAATTAAACTCCTCATGATGCCTCCAAATAAAGTCCATGTCCTACTTTATGTCATACAAGCCTTTTAATCATTCTAAAGTTACCTGTGTGAATTGTGGAAAAGTTCAAGCTTTGGAGACAGATGAATTGTATGGGATAACATATGCTTTGCCACTTAGCTAGCTATGGCAGTTTGCTATGCCTTCTAATACTCAGTGTCCTCAACTATAAAATGGGAGGATTATGCATGATAAGGAATGTCAAGTTTCTACATAATACAGTGCCTGCCACTAAGCAAGTGCCAAAGTAAACAAACAGCAAAGTTTATGACCACTTCCCCATATTCTAATTCTTAGAAAATGTCATCAACTATGCAGAGGGCAGAGATCTTGCCACCATCATCACCTACCTGAGCACAACAGCACTGCACAGCCTCAGGGATGGTATTCAAACTGCAGTCAATGTGAATTGCACCCTCTGGAGATGTAAATAGACCAGTCACTGTATGTGATGACTTTACTCATTTTCTAGAGCTTGGGATATGCTTGTCGGTTTGTTGAATGGATAATGAAACTAAGTGAATTTCTAAGAAGTTGAGAGGTTTGTTTTATATTAAAAAAAATTTGTCTTACAAATTATTGTAATTATTTATTTCTGGGTTAAGTGGTTGCTTCTGTTTTAATCCTCTAACAAGCTGAATGAATGTTGAAACCATGCTGTGCCAAGAAGGGCTAATTGGTTGTTTTAGCTTATTAGGGCTGGAAGTGTTAAAAACAGAGCCTGACAGCAATGAAATTAGTGACAATACTAAGCCAGAGTTATATGGACTGTAGCTAATGAAGGGCATGTATCATTCCCAATTTTTAAATAGTATCTTTTACTTACAGTAGATTGAGTTGTTCAGTAGGGCTGGAGTGGGGGGAGGGGTGTGGCTGGAGAAAGTTATGTAAATTTCTGATGAAATACAAATTGGCAGTGGATTGGCAATATTTGTTTCACAGTCTTTCTATTGTGGTATTTTCTTACAAATTATTGTTATTGTTATATCCCAATTAATGACTTCTCCCTGTAACTCAACAGAGGTCTTTTAATTAATTTCATTAATTCAAAAAATGTTCAGCAAACACCATGTATCTAGCATGGTGGTCTTCACCAAATGTATGATAGTGAAAAAAAGGAGTCTCCGTCTGCAAGGCATTCAGTTTAAGGAAGGAGACAGAAAATTAAATAAAGTAGGAGAAGTGCTATAGTCAAGGTAAATCCAAGGTGCTGGGGAAACAGACATGTCTAGTGTTAAAAAATTGTTAGAGGTGATTTAGTGCAGCCCTCTATTTACTTATAAATTCCCCGGATACAAGGCTGCAGAACCGTGACTCCATTGACTGGTACGGTGGTTTGGTTCAAATGCTCTTTTTGGTGAAACTTGAACAATTAGTCATCTGGTCTCCTTTGACAGAAAGGAAATTACTTCAAAGAAAAGTATTTTGAAAAAACGTAAGTCAAAAAAAATCTGGGAAAAAGGTTATCCCCAAAATGATGTATCAACTGCATGTCATAATTTAGATAAATATTAATTTTCATGCAGTGTGCATGCAAGCCCTGGGATTTTAGAAATTTTAGCTTAAAGTGAAAAACAAGATATTTCAGTGTTAATGGTAGCACATAATAAGAATTTTCATACATAATGTCACACTCAAAAAATTTTTTAAAAACCTCTAGTGTTGTCATAAAAAGAGCAAGCTTCTACAGCTCAAATTCTGGCCATTTCAGAACTTGAACAACATGTAGAGCCTTCCTAATTGTCAGAATCCTAGTCTGAAAAGGGCCATGATAATGCTTACATAATTGAGTTGTGGAAAGGATTAAATAAGATTACGATGAAAAAGTACCTTGTTGAATGCCTGATAAATTGAAAGCAGTCAATCAAAGGCAGCTGAAAAGAAATGGCTGCTTCACTGGTTAACTGTCAGGTCTTGTGGTTACATAAGAAAATATGGGCAAGATAGACATTTTCTCTCTTGGGTTGAAATAAAATTTTGATATATTTCCTATTTCCTACTTGAATTTTACTTTCATGAGGACAGAGAACCTGGGAATTCTCAGTATTCCTGCCCTTTGCTGTCCATGTGAAGGCAGCACTGCTCCCAATTGCACTGTTACAGAATCACAGCTTCTCGGAAGCATGGATAGCAGGGCCCTTCTTTCAGGCATCTTCTTCTCATTCTTTCCTAGCTCTCTTCCTTATTGCCTGGAAATTATAATTGTGTCTTTCATCAGAAAGAGCATGCAAAGCTGAATAAGAAGAACTTTTGTTTACACTTAGGGGGAGATCCAAGCTCTGTATTATTCATTGAGGTTTTTTTTTTTTTTCCGCCTAATAAATATTCATAGAGTACCTACTGTGTGCTAGACACTGCTATAAGCTCAGGGGATACATGGGCGGACAACATACCTCAGATTCCTTTACAGAGTTTATGGTATTGTGGAAGAGAGGTGAAACAAACAAATATATAGAAGATAACTTCTACTAGTGAAGAATTTTGACAATAATTCAATGACCAGTGCTCTAATTTCACTCTAAAGAGGCTACCCAGAGAACTGGGAAGAAGAATGGGCTCTGTACATCCTTGTTGTAGAAGGAAGCTATAGGAATAAGAACAGAATTCAGGATTAAAATCATTTGCTCTTCGTCGCTGTTGCAAGCAGCTTTGTTAAAAACTCCCCAATTGAAACTAATTTCATATCAAGAAATTATAGCACCTTTGGATTTTTAATGGGCTTTATGTAGCATGACATTGACTTATGACAATCTTGATGTTTGAAAACAATTTGCCATTTTATGACTTTTTTGCATTTCTGGATGACACCGCATTGCATGTTTCAAAATATTATGAGCTTTATAAATATACATTTAGGGGTAATTTCTGCAATATTTTCTTAGTCCAGTTAAGTTAGATCAGAGTGTTGTTTGCTTTGTAAGTTTAATTTAGAAATTTGAGTAAATGTTTTGGTTTCTCTGAATCCAATTCACTGCCTATTAACTTTGCCTTTGGAAATATGGCTTTTACTAGGAAAAAAAAAATAGCTGTCTTACAAATCTTGCAAATAAATCAAAAACAACTTATCATAGATTTTACATGCATCACAAATTTTCAGAGTCAAATTTTGTGGTAATGTCAACCTGAAAAGAACTGCAGCTGTCTATTCAGGTGTGTTCAATCTCTACTTGATAGGAATAATTACCTTCTACCCTCACTAGGTAATTGCCTTTTGATTGAGGTCATCAGAGCAATCAAGTCAGTGAGAGGCGGAAATCTAGAGTAGGAAAGGAGACAAAGGGAAGAATCATGAACAGAACTTTGAAAGGAGAACAAGAAAGAAGAGGTTTAATTTGTTTTTAACATTTAACTGTTCAGTAATAATTTAAATAGTGGCAGTCATAAAATCATCATAATATGCAACCTGGGTTAATTAGCTTGATATTTTTGTTTTTTGAAGTGAAAAGCTTGATATTTTTGTTTTTTAAGCATTTGATTAGTATCATTACACATTCCTATGAATGACAACTCACTCTCTAATTTAGTCTCCAAATAGTCTTTGCATACACATTATATCAGGGGAATCGTTTAGGTACTGGGACAGGTAGAGGTGGGAACAAAATAAAGAAAATGTATGTCCTAACAGGGTTTACATCCTGATTATTGAAAAACAAAAGCGATTCATGTTACTTTATATTTTTATATATATATATATATATATATATATATATATATATATATATCTGTATTTTAATTATACTTTAAGTTCTAGGGTACATGTGCACAACGTGCAGGTTTGTTACGTATGTAAAACAAAGAGAGTGTAGAAGCAAAGGGAATAGAGAGGGTTTTTTATTAATGAAACAGGGAAGAATAAATATTTGATAAATTGACAGTCTTCTTAAGTGAGACATCCTGGGGATGAGTTTGCAGGAAGACAAAACAGTAGTGTAAAATGTTTGGAATGTTCAAAGAACTTAAAGGAAGCCAGTGTGGCTAAGAGTAGTTTGAACAAGGGGTAAGTTTGAGATTTTTGCAGACTAATAAGTGCATCTTCTAAACTTCCAATTTAAGACTTGCAGATGTTGGGGAAATATAATTAAAAACAAAATCTTCTCCTAACCCAGAAATCCTCTCTACAAAGATAATAGAGGAAGAAAACATTTTCGTTATTGAATAAGCATGTAAATAGAATGTGATGCAATCACAGGAAATACACTAAGAGACTGCAGGTACAGCAAAATACGGCAGAGAGAGAAATCCCACCTTTACGTAGAGCCAAGCAGATACATATCATTACATATGTCTTTTCAAGATGAACAATAAGTAGTCCTAAAGAGGACTTGACAGGACTATTTGTCACATATACTTCATTTTAACTTTACCTGGTGATTGGAGTGACTATCTGTGTTAGCTATGGTCTTTACTCAGAGGAAAAAGCAGCTTCTATCTTTATGACAGGAGTTAGTCTTGCAGTTTGCAGCAAGGTGCCCACTGAAGTGAGGCTTCCACCCTCGAGCAGAAACTGAGAGATAGGAACCTTATTTTCCATGATGTTTACATTTCAAAGAGATGGCTCCTTGGTCGTTGAGAAAGACATTCCTTGGTCATAAAGCTGACAAAAGCTTTATTTAGTTTCTAAAAATATTCATATACATTTCAAAGAAACAGAAAAAGTACTTACATTTTCAGGTTTCTAAGGTAAACTTACTAACAAAATGGGAACGGAGGAAAATCTATTTCCTATTTTCAACAGTGAGAATTAAGCCTCTTATTTTTAATCTGTATTTTTTCTCATTCTAGTAATACCTACATTAGTGCTTCTCAAACTTTAATGTGCATAGGAATTGCTTGGTGATCCATTTAAAATGCAGATTCTGTTTTGATGACTGTGAAGTGAGATCTGAATCTCTGAATTCACAACAGGTTCCCTGGTGATGCCAATGCCATTTGTCCACAGTACAGGCTTTGAGTGACAAGGTTAGATAAGGAGCTGAGAGAGAGGCAGCATAAGACTAGTGATTTCGACTAGGGTGGGTATGGGGTGGGGGAGCGGTGGTGTATGATCAAGTATTATAAGGCCTTGTAGACCATTTAAAGGACGTTTAGGTTTGAATGATATTAAAACCTTAGAGTATAACAGTTCCCTTTTATTTGTGGGTCATAAGTTCCAAGAACCCCATTAGGTGTCTGAAACTTTGGCAAATATCTAACACTGTGGACACAGTAAGTACTGTGTTTTTTCCTATACGTACATACATACATACATATGATACAGCTTAATTTATAAATTAGGCACAGTAAAAGATGTATAACAATAACCTAATAATAAAATAGAACAATTTTAACAATATGGCAACATCAATACTCTTGTACTTTGGTGCCATTATTAAGTATAATAAGGATTACCTGAAGACAAGCACTACAATCTAAACAGTGGGTCTGATAACCAAGACCTCTACAAGTGACTAATGGGTGGGTAGCATAAGTGGAAATGCAGGACAAAGTGTCGTGGGATCTGGGGGTTGTCGCTTTCCCAGCTGGAAACCTCTGTGGCTGGTGGCACCCAGCATGCTGCACTCAGCTCATGCTGCCGGCCTCAACCTCACGCCTGCGAAGGGTGAGCCAGGTGTGGAGCGGCAAGGGGTGTGTAAATGATCACTGGGTCTGGCCACTGAACACAGCCAGGCATGCCAGCTAAGGCAGGCAGGCAGCTCCTGGCACTGGCACAGTCACGAGCTCCATGTGAGGCTGCAGCTGGGCCAGACGTAATGTAAGTGGCATGCACTGTGAGCACTGGGGAACATGGTGGTGCCCACAAGCTTGGAGATGCCAGGAATGGCAGAGCCCCAAAGAGGGTGTCACAGCCCTGGCTCAGGGAGCTCCTATGTCTGGGCTGCCAGAAGGACTGCAGCTCTTCTCTTATTTTCATCGCCCACAACATGGTAAGCAGGGACATGTTTCAGCCCTGTTTGTGTTACAGCTCTTTCAGTCGGGCCATTCAATGGGTCCTGAGTTCTTGTTCTATGTCCAGGAAGAATGAGGTACGTGGACAACTGGAGGGTGAGCAAGGCAGAGAGAAGCGTCACTGAGACAGAACAGCTCAGAGGAAACTCAAAGTGGGTTGCTCCTTTCCACAGGCAGGTTGTCCTGATGAGTGTACAACTCTTAGCAGAGAGGAAACCCATAGTGGGTAGCTCCTTTCTATGGGCAGGTTATCCTGATGAATGTCCAGCTGTCCACATAGAGGAGACCTGTAGCAGGTAGCTCCGTCCCACAGCTGGTAATCCCAATGTCTCTGTGAGTCTGGCTGAGTCTGGGGTTTTTATGAGCTCCTAAGGGAAAAATTGTGTGCTGATTGGTCCATGGGTGGCCATAGGCAGACCTGGAAAAACAACCATCTGATTGGCCAAACAGTCATCAATGAAGTCCTCACTCCAGGCCAGGGACTTCACCCAGAACTGGCAGCCCGGCCCTCAGGCTTCAGGCTGTTTTTGTTTTGGAGGTAGGGTTTCACTGAGGACCCTCCGCTTTCCTTCCAGGAACCTGTCTGTCTCCTGCCATCAACATGCCATCCATGGCGCCAAGGTTGTTCGTGCTGAGAGATGCCTGCAGGCCCAGGCCAAGACACCCACACCACCCCTTGCCTCTCTGCTGTGCTATGTGGTGCCCAAAGTTTGTAGAGGGACAAGGTGGTGGGGTGGGGGTAGGGGGCTGGCATAACAGCACCACCCCAAATGTGTGCACACTCCCTGGTTTGCAACAGTGCACACGCCCAGCCACAACTTTGCTGTGCACTGGAGCAGGTGCCAGGAGCAGAGAAAGAGGCCAGAGAGTGGGAGCAGACACTTAGGAGCTTTCAAGGGCAGGGGTTGCTTCCTGAGCCTCTGAGAATGCAGGGATGCCGAGGTCTGCAGCCATGGCTGGGTGGCTGCAACTGCACCCTGGAGTGTGGGGCTCCTGCCAGCTCAGTAGGGGCATGGTTTCCACCTGTTCCTCACCTCTGCCAGATCCATGGGGCACATAGCCCTGGCTACTCCTCCCCCACTGCAGCCAGTGTCTTCACAGCGCTGCTCCAGAAAGGTCACTGCTGCCATCACAACCATGGTTAGAGATGGAATTGACAAGGAAATTTGGTTATTTATGTGGCAAACAGCAATCTAACATAATTATAATTACTACTGATAACATATACTAAGAAATAACAGAATCACAGGAACCTCATACAATTTTGCAACACATATTAATAGCATATTTATAAAAATATAATCTAAAAAGAATTAAACACCATTTCATATTTGACAATGCTTCCTGTATGATTTTATTATACCAAAAATCTGACTATTTCTCTTTTGGACTTCAGGGGGCCTCATATCAAAAAAATTGATGAAGTCAAAAAGACTGAATTTACAATTTGGTTTTTGCCAGTTTGCCAAATAACAGAGGTTTAAAACACTTGATATCACAAAATAGGATCACAGGTAACTGTAAAATAAGTCATTCATTTATCCAAAGTGGTAATACAAATATTTCCAAAAAAAGGGCAAAAACTCTGACTCTTTTAGAAAGGAGACTCACTTTCATAAACAATGAGACCTAATAAAGACATCATGAGGCCAGCTAAATATGTTTCTCAATTCTTATAAACAAATCTATTAAATTTTAATCATCTTGACCATAAGACAGAATTTTCGTAAGCCTTTTTATAATCTTTTACAATTTTTTTAATTAAAGAGTGGTTAAAGCTGCCAGAAAACTTCGTTAATCTGACACACTGGCACAAATGCTGGTCTTGTATCAGTGCCTTTGATATGAATGTTTAATTTATCGAAAAATACTGAACTAATTTTCTCTGAAAATTAGCCCTTACAGTCTCCTGCGTCCACGTCTTCCATGTTAGTCCTTGGGCCTGGAGGATTTGAATAGTTCTAATTTGTGGCCTTGTATCTCATGAATGCAAATTATTTTGATTGTCATATTCTACCAGGTCTGAAGATAAGGCTACTGTAAGTGTTTATGATTTAGAAGGAGTTGGTGTCCTTTTTAGACTCAGGAATCATAGCCCTGTAACTTAACAGTACAGGGACTCTAAAAGCAATACAGAAAATTACATGGATATAATAATCTTGTATTTTTAAATCTCAGTTTTACTAAGCAAATCAGAAACTTAATAACAATGGCATAGAAATTATTTCGATAAAACATAAAATCTGTTTCTTAGGCCAGTTACCGAAAGGCAGAAAAACAAAAACAAAAACCTTCTGCAGTGAGGTTGCTTTCCTCTGTTAGGGGTCCATTTACATAACCTGCAAGTCAAAACTATTGAAAAGAGTACATGAATTATTTAATCAGACATAGGAAAAGTGTGTCCTGAATCGTAAGTGAAGGTTTTCAGTTTCATAGAACAATTTAGATATATTAAGAAAAGCCAAGAGTACAGAATGTTACATCAGAAGAAAACATTTTCTTTAGATCTTGAAGATAAAATATTTTTAGCATTAGGCCACAACAACAGTTAGAACCTGAGGGGGGAAATAATTACAAAAACTGATGAAAAACTTGAAGGAAAGAGTTATTATCTCAGGCCTTCTCAAAGGGGAGAGAAAGCCGGAAACAGCAAGACATAATAGAAGTTAAGCTTTTGGATTAAAAGTGAAAATTTCTTGGGCCTGGCGCGGTGGCTCACGCCTGTTATCCCAGCACTTTGGGAGGCCGAGGCGGGCGGATCATGAGGTCAGGAGATTGAGACCATCTTGGCTAACACGGTAAAACCCTGTCTCTACTAAAAATACAAAAAATTAGCTGGGCATGGTGGCACACACCTGTAGTCCCAGGTACTTGGGAGGCTGAGGAAGGAGAATCACTTGAACCCGGGAGGCAGAAGTTGCAGTGAGATGAGATCCTGTCACTGCACTCCAGCCTGGGTGACACAGCAAGACTCAGTCTCAAAAAAAAAAAAAAAAAAAAAAAAAAAGTTAAAATTTCTTATAATTCTATTAAGAACAAATGAATACTTTAAGGAAATTTTGGTTTTTTAAACAATTATTTTGTGTATCAGTGTATTTTTAATATCAAACCCAATCTCTAGAAAGACTATTATTAATAATTTCCTTTTAATTTTAGCCAACTTAATCACGTAAAACTTTTCCATACATTTTCTTTTTACAAACCTTATTAAGACTTATAGAAATTTGTGAGATGCTTAGACTTCCTCTTTTAGCCTAATTATTCCTCTTTCTTAAATAAACAGTCATTTTATTTCAGGCCAATAATTTACTGTACAAAATTTGTTCTCATAGAAAATTATTTTCCTTTTAACTTACCAAAATTACCTCTTTATAACTTTCTTTACAACTGCCTTATTTACTACTTCCTTTTACCTTGTTTTATAAACAACCTTTGAATTAAACAAAAATTATTTTTCTTTTAATAACTTTTTTAAGAAAAAAAAGGCTTTACAGCTGAATACAGTGGCTCACGTTTTTAATCCCAGCACTTCGGAGGGCCAAGGTGGGTGGATCACTTGAGCTCAGGAGTTGAAGACCAGCCCGGGCAATATGGTGAAACCTCATCTCTACAAAAACATACAAAAATTAGCTGGGCTTCGTGGCATGTCCCTGTAGTCCCACCTATTTGGGAGGTTAAGGTGAGAGATCTCTTGAACTTGGGAGGAGGAGGCTTTGGTGAGCCAAGATTGTGTCACTCCCCTCCAGCCTGGACAAGAGAGTGAGACCCTGTCTCAAAAAAAAAAAAAAAAAAGGAAAAAAAAGATGTTTCTTTAATATATGTATATATCTTTAATTGAAAATAACCCAGATATTTAATGAATATCTATTATCTAACATAATATAACTTCAAGATTCTAAATTATATGTTTATGTATAAGCATTTATTCCATTACATTTCCCTAATTTACTATTTTTAATAGTTTATTTAGATTACTTAGAAAAACTGCAGTATTAGACAAAGCTAGTCATCATTTAAAGTTATTTTCCTGTTAACAATTGTTTTTAGCCTGTGAATGTCTAGTTGTTTATCTAAACAAGAACTTTAAGGTTCAATAAATCAGTTTTTTGCCAATAACCCAGGATTTAGCAATTTTCATTAAATCAGTAATACAAAATGCCTTATTTATAAAAAAATTACACAAAGATAATTCTGTTTTGAGCTGCATTTATAGCATTAAAATCTTCATGCCAAATTTTGACAGCTTATAATATCTAGCAGATATAATTATAAAACCTCTGGAAAAATAAATCTAATGTATAATAATGTATGTGTATAATTCTGAGGACATTTCTAATTTTATTTTACCAATAATTCTAAAGCCACCTTATTTATTAAAGATTTGCTTAAGTCATGTGAACTTGAAAAAGCATTTGGGCTTAAAGTTTTTTTTCTGATATAGTATTTAAGTGCTTTTTTATTTAAGCCAATTAATTAGAGCTCTTTTATATATTTTTGATAGTGAGACATTATATATATGACACATAAATACATACAGGTATAGACACATAGACAGAAGTAGATCTGATAGACTCATAAGACTTTTATTCCACCCCTACTTTAAACTTCACTTTTCTTGATAATCTACTTCATTACCCTAGGCAATTGTCAGAGAGCCCTAAATTTGCATACTAAAGGAACAATTCTTAGGTGAAAATCAGATAGCAAAATACACATCTCAAAGGACAGCAAAAGGGAGAGAGAGAGAGTCTGAGTGTGTTAGAGGAAGGTTAAAAATGGATACCATGCCAAACATTAAATTGTAGAAATCTACCGTACCATAGGATTTTTTTTAAGGAGTACAATTTTACTTATAAAGGCAGTTTTAAATTTAGGCTCTATCTTTTAACTGGACCTCTGAGCACGGGGCAGAGTCTACACTTAATCCTGGTTCTCCAAAAAGGAGAGATCATGGGAATAGGCCATATAATATTTTTACAGTACACTTTGTTACTAAGGCATTTCTCTAAGTGTTTAAACTGTACCCTTTCTTATTTTAAACACACTGAGAGTAGCCCCCGCCCCCATAGTAACAACTATTTACTGTAAGCAGCTGCCATTTAGCCATCTCTAAAAGCATATTACCTAGCTGTCACACAGACCATGGTAAAAAAAAAAGTTATCATCATGCAAAATAATATTTGATACCCTCAAAAGCTAAGAATATCAAGTAACTAAATGCAAGGAAGCTGAGCTTTAGACCTGAGAAGAATTCACCAATGACTCTTGAAACTCCACAGAGAAAGCAGAAGACCTCAAAAGAGGGGTGTGTGGCACCTTTATGCTGTGACTTTTAAGGGGTGTGAGTTATTAGACTCCTTCTCAAGATGTTTTTTCACTTGATACCAAAGATGGTAAAGGGGAAAGGAGGAATAGGGTAGAAGAAAAGTAAATTAAATAATGATTTTTAAGAAAGAAATGGAACAGAGAAATTAAGCACGTGTTTTCTTTTTTGTTTAAAAAAACGAAAGGTTTCAGTAAACTAAAAAAAATTCCGAAAAGCAAGATCCGAAAAGAGAAGTGTAAAATCATATATATATATATGTGTGCACGCATGTGTGTATATACATATACATATACACATATATAAAGGCATTATATACATAAGAACTTTAAATATATTTATAAGGCCTTTATATATATATAAGAGATTTATATATATTTATATATTTATAGCTCTCTTTTCTCTCTCTATATATATATAGCTTGAATACCACCTTTTAATTAAGCTGATTTTAACCATGGGCCTCCTAATGTATACTATATATGTATATACAGACACACACATATGTATATACACACATGGAGAGAGAGCAAGAGAGAGGGTAGCTATCTATATAGAGAGAAAGAGCTTGGATATCAGCTTTTAATTAAGCTGATTTTAACCATAGGCCTCCAAAACAAAAGGTTGGGGGGGCGGGGAGAAAAAGACAAGGAAGAAAGAAAAATAAAAGAAATCCCTTCAAATCTCCTACTACATAAATATCAAACCAAACCCAGGCTGCCTTAGTGAAAAGGGCAGAATCTTATCTACCGAACTACGGTGTGAGGTGGCTGTCATTGCTGTTTCTGGAAGAAAAACTGGAGGTAGCTTGGTTAGTAAAAGGTGGCCTTGCTGTAGATGAAACCCATCAAGTAGCCAAAAAAAAATTTTTGGATCCTTTTTCCTGGCTGTTTTTTTTTTTTTTTCCTCTCATTTCTTTTTGCAACTGCAGAGTATTTCAGCAATTTTAAAAGGCCTTGTTAGGCATAACTCGGAACTCTCATTCGGATTTGACCAAGTCAGGTAGAGTTGGTCAAATCTGATGGGAGAAAGACTGAAACAGCAACAACAACAATGAAAATACAGTTATTTAGAGCTCTGATGGTAAGGAGAAATTAAGACCAGCTTGTTGTCAGTCTTTACTTTTAGTCATTAAGGAAAACTTTCCAAGACAAAACTCCAAATTCATGTACTTAATATAGAAACGGGGCCCAGACTGAAGACTGCTTTCTACCAACATAGAAGGAGGAAAAAGCTCATACTTACCCTCCCTGTTGAAAGCCAGCTGAAACTCCGGAAAGGAGCTGCTAGCCATCCACCATCCTGGAAGCAGGAAAACTCACTTTTTTAATGGAAATGAGTAAAATTCTAGAAAAGGAATTGTACATCAAAATAAACCTTAGATCTCAATGAAATTTGGGGAGATCAGGAATTCCTTGGAGGGGGGAAACTCCCAGATCTCAGCAAATTGTCATGTTGGTTTGGGCATTGTAGATAGCCCAGGCTAGTACTAAGAACCAATAGGAGTTTTGTCATGGGTCAGGGTCATCTCCAGTCAGAGTCCCTTCCATTGGTCACCAATTGGTAAAAACAAAAAGTATCTGAGACAGGAGGTCTTAATCAATTTGAAGTTTATTTTGCCAGCGTTAATGACATGCCTAAAAAAAGGAACAGCAATCCACAGGAACAATCTGTGATCCATGCCTTTTTCCAAAGATAATTTTGAGGACTTGAGTATTTAAAGCAGAAACGGGCTGGAGGGTCAAGAGGGAGGGCATGGTCACTTTACTCAATCCACATGTGAGGACTTGAGTATTTAAAGCAGAAACAGGGGCTGGAGGGTCAAGAGGGAGGGTATGGTCACAATACTCAGTCCACATGTTTCAAGACGAAAGGAGCAGGTGGGGGGATAGTCAAATATGTATTCCTCTCCAGTAAGTCCGCACTTTAGGTGAGAGTAGCTGCCTTTGGAGATATTCTAGCTCTTAATCTGCAACTATTTGCTTAGGAATAAAAGGGAAGGCAGTTTTTTGCATGACTCAGCTTTCAGCTTAATATATCCCTTTTGTGATACTCAATTGCGGGCCTAAGATTTTATTTTCTTTTCACAACCACCATGTTTTGGGTCTCAGAAACTGAAAACTACATGTGTCATTCACTTACATGAGAAAAACAGAGGGCAGGGGCAAATTTGGAGGAGACAATTAAGAGATATAAATTGAGGTTATAGGATTTGGGATTTCTATTTTGTTTCCAGATACCGTCAACTGCACAGATACAAAAAAAGTAACTACGTAGAAGATTTAACCAGAGTTGGGGCTCTGTTTCTTTCTTTTCTTTTCCTTTTCTTTCCTTTTCTTTTCTTTTCTTTTCTTTCCTTTTCTTTTCTTTTCTTTTCTTTTCTTTTCTTTCTTTTCTTTCTCTCTCTCTGTCTTTGTTTCTTTTTTAGGGGCGAATGGGGTAGTATATTGAGAACATGTCAGGAAGTGTTTATACAAACAGTCATAATATCTCTCTTGGGTGAGGAAAGAGTGAGAGCAGTTCAGGGCAAGTGAGAGCGAAAAGCTGCTAGGGTCTATATAGTAAAAGTCTTTGCTGGAATGAAGATATTAGAATGAGTGAGCCAGAAAATAGAAGATGAAATTGGAGAGATGTGTCTGTAAAATTACTGTAATGAAAGGGATGAGATTGTGGGTGATGCCATGATGCTATATATATGGAGTGGCTGGCGGAAGTATGATGGGTGGCTGAATTATTAGCGTGAAGGCTGTTATGGAACTGAGATGCAAGAGTACTAGAATGTTCACCACATTGAAACTGATACCACCAAGAAAGTACACACTGTGAGAGGAAGGAGGCAGTAGCTAGATGGTAAATACTGAAAGAATGAGCGTTGTGACTCCATGAATATAAATGATTACCAGGAAAAAAAAAAAAAAAGGTTTAGTGGACTGTGTAGATTGATGGCCTAACCTTCAAAGCTGGAACTTTTCAGAGGATGGAAATCTGAAATTTTGAAAGCAGCCTGAGGAACAAAGAGGACATTTACCTCACTTCCCAGCCCAGTGCTCTGAATTGTGCTGTAGAGAAAACATGACTGCTTGAGAGTACAGCAGAGAAAGCAAGGTCCTCTGGGGAGAACCCAATCTTGTTTAGAAGAAGGGAAGGTTTAGAAAAGATGTTGAAAATATAAGTAATTTTGCTACTGACTGACTGATTTCAGAGAGAACAGAGAAAAAACTGTAATCATAATTTTCCTTGTAGTTTATCTGGTAAAAAAAAAATGTGTGTGTGTGTGTGTGTGTGTGTGTGTGTCTTTGTGTGTGTGTGTGTGTCTATGTTATAGTTAAACTTTTAGGTTTTATTTTTATGATAAACATATCAGTTACTGTAAATCAAAATTTGTTCACATTTCTAGTAAGGTGCCTAGTATTAAAGATATTTATTATTTTCTTTTAATTCATGAAGGGTATCCTTGTGTTTATTTCTAATCTTCTCTGATAGGTATTCAGTTAAAGTATTGCCGAATACATCAAGCTTTGACCTTCAATGAATACCATTATGAAACAGAGTGATTCAATAATATTCAAGACATTGAGAAGACACTTTTCTAACTTGTACAATTCTTAAGATCAGAAAATAGTGTGAAGTCAATTCAATCAATACAGGATAGTTGATGAAGCTAAAAGATGTTATTTATTAAATGTAAATCTCTTGAAAGTTTTTTAAAGAGGGAATCAAAATTTAAACAGTGATTATAAATCCCTCTACGTTTGATGACACAGGGATACAGCTGCTTTCCTAGTCACCTAAGGCAGGTGGTGCTTTACTGTGTTTTACAGAGCTAAAAGAAATGAACATTTTTCTTTGAGAAAGCGGAAAAGCAGATCAGAAAAAGACTTGTCAGAAGATACAGTGATTATTACTACTGTTTCTTATATATTCAGGGACACTGTGCTCAGTGCCATACCTACAATGAAGATCACAGTTCCAGGCCCCAATATAATCTTCGGCTGAAAAACAGGTGGTCTAATTTGTTTTATTATTTAATTATCTCATTAAAGAAAGAAGCAAGATTAAGACTATGTGATGTATTATTTGGCACCACAGCCTTAATTTCCTCTTCAATATTGTGGAAAAATATATTTTGATGCAATTTCCATGTCATGCAGCATGTTTCTGAAAAAACAGTAGATAATATACATTCTTTTGGAAATATTTTGCCATTTCTAAAATGATGTATGAAAATTAGCAATATTCCATGCTTGAGTTAGCAGAGAAAATTGACTGACTTGAGATTCGGAGGTTTTTGTTTTATGAAACAATGTACAACATTATATTATATATTGTAGGTAAAGCTAAATCATTTAAATAATTTCCTCTAGTTCCATGCAACAGCAAGTAAGATGCATAGCTTTTAATTTTCTTTGCTATGCCCAGAAGTCTTTACCATAATCCAATTTTCTCACAACTTTTGAAGTCTGTGTTAAGCAATAACATACGGCAAGTTTATTCCAACGTAGGACACAGCTTCTCAAATCAGAGCCGTTTTAATAATTATTACCAATAGGAACTTTGAAATCTACTGATAGTAGCTGAAGAGATAAAGTGATTTGTCTTTAACAGATGTGTTTCTTTTAAATTATTCATTTTCAGAAGCATATTTCTGTATAACAGGTGCCCAAAAATTGCTGTGGAAATATGAATATATTTAGAAGACTCCTATTTATGCTAGGCATGTTGTTTTGACAATTCAAGAGAAATTTCTGAATTAAAATGAACATCATACTTCTCAATTTCTCAGAAAAGGTAGTAATCAAGAGTATTTGGTACGTATGATTTAAGATTTAATCTTGCATCCAATTTTAGGATCAAATTTTGTTAATATATTTCTCAGCAAAGAGTATAATCATCAACCATTTAGTCAAAACACTTGAGGATGATGTGACTTAAGTCTAGATAAATGTATTGATATATAATTCTCATATCAGTCTTTTAGTATCAATGCCATTTTTAAAGTGTGAAATAATGCTCCTGAAATGTAATATCACAACATGATATTGGGAGGACAAATATATTCTTCTTTTCATTATATAAAGGGCAATTTGACAATTCTCCTGTCAAATTGTCATCTTTTTGTAGATGAGAAGTACATTTTTCAAGACATCATACTTATGCCATCTTAAGAAACAATGTCCATATCTTAGTCAATACTTTTTAAAAACAGTTTATTTCTTGCTCAAGAATATTCTGCAGCTGTCCAGGTGACATATCAGCTGTTGCCCATGAGGTGATTCAGGGATTAAGTCTTCTGGAATTTTTTGGCCTTGCTATCTCAACAGGGGTTCTACACACTAGCAGTGACAGGGAGAGCTCACACTGAAACTCACACCTACTCCCTCTCTGCTGTAGACAGAAATGACATACGTCTTCAGTTCATAATACTCTAACCACATCTGGTTACATGCATCTACTTAACAGCAAATGGGGCTTGAAATGTAGGTGAAAATAGGAAATATTTGGTGAGCATTACTTACTCTGCCAAAGAGGGATACACTAAGTCTTAAATATGCCAAATAACTTGTTTATAGGGTACAACTAAAAATATCCAGTACTTGATATTGGGACTAGTTCTGTCTATAACCAAACCTACACTATTTCTTGCATAGTGACCTACCATCATTTATTGGAGAATCGTATACATAGACAAGCTTCAATTAGGTTGTCATTTATTCTCATATTTGTGGCATGGCCATGTAGGCCATGAAATTATATATGAGGAAGTATATGGGGAAGATGGTAACAAATTGTAGTTCTGGTCTGTAACAGATATATTCAGAATTACAGTGCAAGGTTTTATAATTATTTTAAAAAGGTCGTATTCAACTTTGAAATGACTCATAATTTTATCAAATTTTCATAGACATTTCAAGGTTGAAATGTTCTCTAAGTTCATGCAGTACTACTAATGCATGATCTCATATTACAACGCTACCAAAGATCTTAAATGTTCTAAAGGAGTAAAAGCAGATCATGATCATTTGGAGTGAGAGACACCTGATTTGAATTCCAATTGACTGTAGTGGTGGCAGTGATGTCAATTACTACATATTGAGTGCTGTCTTGGGCACTGTCATTAGCACGTTACAAACGTTATTTTAATTACTCCTATGGAGAATCCTATGAGATAGAATTTCATAGGATGCCACCATAATTCTCTCCATTTCACATATGAATAAATGGAGGATCAGAGAGATTAAATCATTTATGCTCAGATCCACAATGAGACTACTGTGCATCATGTTATCGTCTCTAACTCTGCTTTATTGTCCTAACCACTACATAGCTTCCTTACATCTTTCACAGCATACGTTTGAATCTTACTCACTTTATATTTGTTTAGGATGTTCTGTTTAAGGTACAGTTTCCCCATCTTGTATCTATTCTTTCAAAGTAATTGGTGTTCATCTCAAGATCGTGTTTATGACGGACAGACATCATCTTGTTAGATTTAGCTCATCTGATAGGTAAATCCAAAAAACTTTACTATCACCTCCAGATTACTTCTGACAATATGCCCCTTTCATATCTAATGAGGACAATAATAATATGTTACATTTACAAAATACTCAAAAATTCAACATTTTATTATCTCCTCACAATAATTCTCATAGCGGTTCCTTTGATGTCCACACTATTTTCTTTGCCATTTAACTAGTCATTCTTTCTTGATCATAAGATCTCCTTCATACACTCAACATCGAGATATTTGAGTACCTGAAAGCTTCATCCTGGTTCCCTTTCATCTTTATTTATAATAACCTCTCCCTAAAAGGTTTTCTCTACCTTCATGATGTTAATTCTGTTGATAAGCTGAACACTTCCAAATTTGCATCTTTAGCACTGGTCTTTTCAGTGAACTCCAACTGTCTATGTCCAGCTTCTTACTCAGCCTAATAGGCATCTCACGTATAAATGTTCAAAAGTGAGCCCTGATTTCCACCTCCAAAGGTTTCACCAAATCTCAAAGTAAAGAATTGAAAATGAAATTTGTAAAATGTTATGTAGGCCCAGAGACCTAGTACTTTACGTGGCAAAGAGCGGTCGCTTACACCATGCCAGATGTATTGAGATGATCTTCAATTATAAAAATACCTGATGTTATGTTAAAGTCACACAACTAGGAATGGCTACTGGTATGAGAATTAAAAGTGGTTTTGCCGCTTTATGTTTCTAAGATGCTCCTTTCTTTACGTAATCATCTATAATTTGACTTCATACATTATTATTCTTAATAAATATATATTTTATGATAAAGTTAATTGTAGAGACTAAGAAAGTCTGATTAAAGTATAATTTTAAGGTCAATAGCAGAAAACACTTAAACAATATTTCCCGTTGTATACATCTTTTTCGTTTTTAAGCTAGTCATAAAATATATTAAAAGTGATTAATTTGGGCTGGGTGTTGCGGCTCATGCCTGTAATCCCAGCACTTTGGGAGGCTGAGGCGGGTGGATCACCTGAGGTCAGGAGTTTGAGACCAGCCTGACCAATATGATGAAACCCCATCGCTACTAAAAATACAAAAATTAGCCGGGTGGCATGCGCCTGTAATCCCAGCTACTCAGGAGGCTGAGACAGGAGAATCGCCTGAACCTGAGAGGCAGAGGTTGCAGTGAGCTGAGATCGCACACTTGCAATCCAGCCTGGGCAAAAAAGCGAAACAACATCTCAAAACAAACAAACAAACAAAAAAAGTAATTAATTTGAAAGGGTAAAAACTCCACAGAAAATAAAACTTCCCAAATTTTCACCACCATAGGGCAATCACCATTACAATGCTAATGTATTTTCCATATATTAAAAATGTTTTCTAGATGAGATTCTGTTCCATGTACAATATGGTATTCTGTTTCTGTCAGTTAGTTAGTATAAGAATGTTTATATATCATTAAATGCTTGTAAACTATCATTTTAGTGCAACATTTAACACATGAGTAAAGGTTTATTCATGCTAGAAGCTTAATAATAAAATAATGAATTATTCTAGATTCCCTTAAGATGTACTTCAACTTTACAAATTCTGATTGAGTCAATAAATACTTAATAAAGCATGATGAAAGTGCCAAATCATAATTTATTTACATGCATATTTCAGGAATCTTTTTTTAAAATAAAGATTTTTGAATAGTAATTTAGAACATTTATTGATGAGTCTACTATAAGGAACTATTCGTCTTATCTCTATTTTACCAGCCAAGATGTTCAAGTGATGACTATATGTCACATATTTCATGTCTTACAGCCAGTAATTGTTGGACAAGAATTGAAACCTGGCAGTCAGACTTCAGAAACTGGTCTCTTACACAATTTTAGGTCACCTAAAAATATCTTTCTGCCTTCTTTATTTTCCTTCATATTCTTATTTTCTCCTATCTCTTTATCTCTTCATATCTCTCTCTCTCTCATACACACACAATATATAACTTTTTCTAATTCATATCATTTATTTAATTTATAAATATATTTATGTTAGCAAAACATAAAAATTATCTAAAGAGGACACTGTATACAGTGATGTGTTTTCCTCCAAAGCTCTAATTTTTCACTCATTGAGGATCCCCCACTCATGTCACAGTTAACTATTCAGTAATGTTTGTGCATCAATCCAGAGTTTTTTTATACATATGTAAGTTCATAAAAATACATATATACCTCTGGCACTGTTTTCCAGCAAATCAACTTTACACATTAAATGGCCTGCTTCAGGACCAAGTTAACTCTCAGCACTTACACACAAAGTCAAAATACAGTGTGCAAGTCTTCGATGATGTTGTGACGCTATAGAACTGGTGATATGTAGTGAACAAAATAAGCAAAATCACACATAAGTTAAATAATTTCTGATTTTAATGAACACTATGAAATAAAAATAGAAGAAAATGGGTTATAAAGTAATATGTGCCATTTATCTTTTCGATAGAGTGACCTAAATGATGAGGATTACACATATAAGCATTTGTATAAAAAATGCCCATGGGAGAGAAATAAGCTCATATTAAAAGGCCAAAGGCAAAAACAAATTCTATGTAATCAAGGAACTTAATGTCCAGTACGGCTATAGCACAGACTGTTGGAGGAGAGCAGAGAAGGAATCAGGAGGCATGTTAATGAGCTAGTTCATTTAGATGTGTAGATCTCTGTGTGTGTGTGTGCGTGTGTGTGTATATATATTTAAGATTTTAGAGAGGAAATATGCACTGTGAATCTAAAAAAATAACGTTAAAAATAAACTTGTACACAAATGGGCTAAATACTTAGCATTTAGAAATACATAGACAGGCGCGGTGGCTCACGCCTGTAATCCCAACACTTTGGGAGGCTGAGGTGGCCGGATCACCTGAGGTCAGGAGTTCAACACCAGCCTGGCCAACATGGTGAAACCCCGTCTCTACTGAAAATACAAAAATTAGCCTGGCGTGGTGGTGTGCACCTGGAATCCCAGCTATTCAGGAGGCTGAGGCAGGAGAATCGCTTGAACCCGGAAGGCGGAGGTTGCAGTGAGCCAAGATTGCGCCACTGCACCCCAGCCTGGGTGACAGAGCAAGACTCTGTCTCAAAAAAAAAAAAAAAAAAGAAAAAGAAAAAAAGAAATATCACAAATTTGTATCTAAATCTAGATATATATTTATAAGTATTTTTAGATAAGATACATGCATCTTGCCGCTGTCCAACAATTAAGATTCACAAATCAATTTATGCAATGAAATACATTAGTATTTGGTAATGGAGAGGAAATAGTATTTAAAATATACATAAAACATTTAGATCAATGCAGATGTGGTTGTAATAAAAGACAAAATGTAGAAAACAATATGGATCATTCGAATAAATCAGAAAAAATGGTAAATGTTAAAGCATTAAGATGATTGAATACCATAATGAATGCATTAGTATTTCTGTGGTTATACTGAGGATTTAATTCACTCTAGAACAGTTTCTTCTGTTAAAACAGAAAACATTCCTTCACATTTTTTTCTATAACTTTCAATAAATGAGGATAATTACATTTAGAAGTGATTTATCTTAGTCAGTACTCTTATAAATTATACCAGCTAATTTTTAGTGAATTAAGTTTATTGGGATACTGCTGAGTTAAAAGGGATATATTTTGCTGTTGAAATTTTCTTATTAAGTTAATGACTTCTTGTACACCTAAAATGACAACTGGAATTATTACTAACATTTAAAATCTGAACTGTTTGGTTTGAACATAAAATACAATTTCTTGTTTATTTGATTTGACCTCCTATAATTTAAAAAATTATATATATAAAAATATTATTAAGGGAATATTTGTATACCATTATACCTAACACAAATAGTCAACTTAGGTTGTCTAATCCACTGTGCTTTCTGCAAAGACTTTCAGAATTATTTGTAGGTTACCTGTTCAGATAGATAATCACTAGTTGGGCAAGATTGTTAAAACCTACACAAGATTGTTGGACTTTGGTTCTCTGATGACTTTGTCCATAGCCTTGTGTAACATTTCTTCTTCATTCTTTTCCATTCTTACATAACTTTTTTTTTTCTGGATGCTTAATATTTGGCAACATGAATTGATGATCTTAAAATGTCAGCAAAAGGGGAAGCATTATGAAGGAGCAAGTTTTGAAGTGCATAGATATGTCCAGGCTTGGAAGTCATATTCTGTTGGTGAAAATGTAATCCCGTGATCATCACACTAAATTGCAAGGGAAGCTGGGATACGTAATTAGCTGTGTGTTCAGTAAGAAGAGCACACTAATTACGGTGAACTGATTGCAATCTCCTACACTCTAGATGATATCATAACAGAGCTGGTAAGACAATACTTTGGTTTTTAAAATTTTTATTATTAACATTATTTAGAGATGAGGGTCTTGCTATGTTGTCCAGGTTGGTCTGAAACACATAGCCTCAAGGAGTCCTGCCACTCCTGCCTCCCAAGTAGCTGGGATTACAGGTATGAGCCACCCCACCTGGAAATACTTTGTATTTGATATTTTAAGGTTGAAGTTGTGTGAGCCTTGCATTTTCTCTTTAGCAATCAATTAACAAATCATGCCTTAACTCTCTCTAAAGAGCGTCAAAATATTGAGAATAATTTCTGATTAGTATAATATTTAGTCTAGTTACCTCATCTTAACCTCTTTTAAACAATTACATATGGGATTCCCTTTTGTATTGCTTTTAATCTTAACTACTTTATACAAACAATAAAATAATCTTGAACATTCAAATTCTCCTCTGCCCTAATTTTTGTCTAGATCTTTCCTAGAACTTTCTAACATATGTTAGAAACACCCCCACGTTAATATACTAGCATCTAAAACTGTCTCAGCCCCTTGCACTGAACATGTGAATAATGTTCTGGCATAGCCTATATTTCCTCCAATGTGAAACTGCAAAATTCTCAGCTCTTGTTTGAGGGGCAGCCTCAAACTAGCATCTCCTTCTTCCCTTTTTCATTGATGATTGGATTTGGTTGCACCAAAGTAACTTATGAGAGGTTGACTCAAAATAGGAATTGATGCATTCAGATTGTTTTCTCAAAAATTAAAATTGTAAAATTAGGAGTGAATTAAGCATGTGGATATTAAGAGTCTTGGCCATATTAGTAACTCTAAAACAGTTTGGTAATCTTACAGCTTGGCTCAGAACTCTTTTTTTTTAAATGCATTGTTATGAAAAGGCTAAAGTCTTCAAAGTCATTTTTAATATATTTTGAGATGTGACTCCATGCGTTTCCATCAGTGTCCAGCCCATCTGGACTATTGGATTGAGATCTGGGGTTCTCTGCCTCCGTACTATTGATAAGAATGAGAAGTGAATTCCAGGAAAATACCCTGTGTTATCTCTCCATTAAATCCTGAGTTGTAATCTCCTCCAGGATGTTTCCCTGATCATCCTAAGCAGAATTGCTCTGCTACCTTTTTTATGGCATTTTCACATTTGTTGTAGTTATTTGAGTGCATGCCTTGCTAACTTTGTTCCATGGAAAGTACTGGACTCATTTAGCTACCCATAGCTATGAGGGCTATATATATTTTTTTTTTAAGATGGAGTCTTGCTCTCTTGCCCAGGCTGGAGTGCTGCGTGACCTTGGCTCACCGCAACCTCCACCTCCCGGGTTCTAGCGATTCTCCCTCCTCAGACTCCCGAGTAGCTGGGATTACAGGCATGTGCCACCATGCCCAGCTAATTTTTGTATTTTTAGTAGAGACCGGGTTTCACCACATTGGCCAGGCTGGTCTTGAACTCCTGACCTTAGGTGATCCACCCACCTTGGCCTCCCAAAGTGCTGGGATTACAGGTGTGAGGCACTGCACCTGGCTTTGAGGGCTGTTGTTTAAGTATACCTGTGTTAATCAAAGAGACAGAGTTTTTGTGGAAATTATGGGGACAGAGCTCTAGTGTTTTTCTATCAGCGTGTTTTATTTTAATCTTGATTATTTGGTGTGACTCTATTCGTCTATGTATGCTTGTGAATACGCATGAATATGTCTGTGACTCCTGCAATAAAGGCTAGAACAAAGACATATAAAACCAGTTTCTTGAATTTGTAAAATCCATGCTTTAGTTTCTTTCCCAAATCCTGCACTTTAAACCTCTATGGTAAAAGAAAAAGGAAGCAGAGATGATATTATAACCAGTAATGAGAAATCTGTGGCCTGTTCCAAGTCTGTGAACGAAGTGATACAAAACATGACTACTGAGAATAGTTGGAAATTGATGCTGTGGGAAGGGTAACATTCCTGGTAGGAAGCGGATCCATGTGGATGGCACTGTGATTGGCCAGACTTATACATGTCTCCTTGCCTATATTGATATTAAGACTTTCCAAATTTTTCTTACTTTATGATGTCTAGCACTGTGTTATTTATTTAGTAAGTATTCAAAAATAGTTGAATAAAGTGATAAAATAATTCACAAAAGAATTAATATTTGAGTGTGAAAGTGCTTTGAAAATGAAAAAAATAAACAGACAAAGATACTGGATAGAAGAAAGAAAAACAAGGATTGAAGTCACTAGCGACTTGTTGAATAAAAGACTGTCTGGATCTACCTATCAAAATGCTCAGACAAATGAAAACATGGAAATATTTTCTTTGATCCTAAAACAGGTGGATCTGAATTACAAGCCATCCAAGAATGGTTAGCTCCTGCCCTTTTTCCTTTTTATCTATGTGTAATTGTGAATTATTCAGAAGGATGCTGCATGGTCCCAAATGAATTGTTGTTATTGATGTTTTATTATGTAAATATTTAAATATTGATTTTTCAGAAATAGTGGGTAGCCTGTGTACATTTTCATGGTGTTTTGACAAAACGTTGCAATAAGTGTCATGAGTCAGTTTTTGCTGACAGTCCAAACCAGAACGCCATGAAAAATGCAAACTGATGTCACTTCTCATTTGTAAAAGGCTTCAAAATTATGAATTCATAAATATTTAATAGCAATGGCTCAAATAGAAATTTGCTCTGTTAGAGTATACGACTGCTTGTGCATGCAGCATATAGAGCTATGCTTTCCTGAGACAGTGCTACCTAGATTACAAATTAGAAATAAGATAGTATCAGGTGGTTTTCTAGGAAGTGGGTCATTGGCTGGTGACCTAAATATTGTACTTAAAATACTTGTTTATGGGTCATTAATTTTACCAGTCTGAAACAGATAGGAATGCCAGTGGTGTTAAAGCTTTTATGATTTGGAACACAAAGAAGCAGGACTATTTTTGAATCTTTTCTATTGAGACTTTCAGTAACTTTATTGAAAATATAGGTGGGTGCCGTGGCTCACGCGTGTAATCCCAGCACTTTGGGAGGCCAAGGCAGCTGTATCATCTGAGGTCAGGACTTCGAGACCAGCCTGGCCAACATGGTGAAACCCTGTCACTACTAAAAATACAAAAATTAGCTGGGTGTGGTGGTGGGCGCCTGTAGTCCCAGCTCTTCGGGAGGGTTGAGGTACGAGAATCACTTGAACCCAGGGGGTGGAGGTTGCAGTGAGCCGAGATCGCCCCACTGCACTCTCCCCTTGCTGACAGAGCAAAACTCTGTCTCAAAAAGAAAGAGAGAGAGAGAGAAAGAGAGAGAGAGAAAGAAAATATATCATTTGTTAATTAACTACCAATAATTTCCTGAAAAGTCATATTAAGTCAGAGGTTATTTGTCAGAAGATAGTACTGAAAATGAAGGAAAGAATAAAGAAACAAAATACACAGGCTTCTGTGACATTGTGATGTTTAACAAACAAGCAAATATCCTAGTTAAAAATGATGGCATATGTGTGTAAAATAGTGAAGAGCTAAAATGCCCAATCTCACTATGTTTACACTTTCTGTGCACGTTAGTGAGAAAAAAAGTGTAATAACACCTAACATACATTTCTTCAATGATTATCTATCCTTTATTCTTGTATAAGCAGATACAAAATCTACTGCTTACTTGCCAACATTACTTCAGAGGGACAGAAACTTCAGTGTGCCTATTTAATCATATCACCTTAATCTTCTTTTATCTGAATAAATACTTCAAAAGTTTGAGTGTAGTATAGATATACTTACATACATATATGTATACATATATATTTGGCCTGTGTGTATATATGCATCTATATATGCAAATATATTGCCTAACTAGCTAATCTTTATATTTTTAAGATCATTTATATGTACACATAGTCAAATCTAGTCCCACCTCTTTTCCTACAGGTATCCATAAATAAAGAATATCACCATGTTGATACTAGAGAGTTAATACAGTTTTTGTTTTAAATTTTATGTATGTGCCTGAATACTCATATGATCAAAATTTAATCGGGAAACAATTAGTTAATTTGCTTTATAGTTTGTGGTTTTCCACCTTATGGGATAATACTATATTTATGTGTGTGTATTTATATATATTTATATATACATTTATATATTTATATATACACAATTATATTTATATTTGTATATTTATATATGTATATTTATATGCATGTGTATAAGTGTCCCTATTTAATCATATATATAGCTTATATATAAATAATATATGGGTGTGGTGTGTGTATGTGTGTGAGTGTGGTGTGTTTGCATACATATATGTATGTATATATCCTCCTTTTATTTTTATTCTTAAGAGTTCCATTTCACCTCAGCTAATGAGGTAGAGTGTTAGTCACATTGGTGGCAATAAGTAAGTTTATAATAAATACTACTTTTTATTTCACTAGAAACTTTTCAGAGCATTTATGGTGCCTGAATACACAATACTTGTTTAATAACAGTTAATTTCCTTCATTTCTCAATGAATAAATTCTCTGTTCAAATGGCGCCTCCAGTTTCTTGATTGTGTATCATATTGTTTGTAGCAAACATTTATTCACACTTACTTAGTGCTGGGCATGTATGTACATCTTTACTAACATTAATTTATCTTTCCCATATGTAAAAGACAATTTTTCTTGCATTCTTTACATTGGATTTACTCTCTTTTTATTCTATCCTCAAAGAGTCAGGATGTTGCTGGATGGAAGAATAAGAGATGTTAACTAAGGAAATGGACAGCGTCCTCTATCTTCCATTCACTCAACCATTTTCTTTTTTATATTTCAGAGGACGTAACATTATTTAATATGTGGTTCATAGAAGTTCCCCTCTCTTTTAAAGTACTTCCTTAGGGCCGGGCGCGGTGACTCACACCTGTAATCCCAGCACTTTGGGAGGCCGAGGCAGGCGGATCACCTGAGGTCAGGAGTTCGAGACTAGCCTGACAAACATGGTGAAACTCTGTCTCTACTAAAAATACAAAAATTAGCCAGGCGTGGTGGCAGGCTCCTGTAATCCCAGCTATTCGGGAGGCTGAGGCAGGAGAATCGCTTGAACCTAGGAGGCGGAGGTTGCAGTGAGCCAAGGTCGCACCACGGCACTCCAGCCTGGGGGAGAAGAGCGAGACTTTGTCATTAAAAAAAAAAAAAAAACAACCAAACTTCCTTGGATTTGTAGAATCCTCATCCTCATGTTCTTGATTACTGTGGCTGCATCTTATCTTAGTTTCCCTCTGCCTCTCAGATTGCTCTTATACAGTTTCCTTTGTTGATTTCTCTTATTGCTGGATTTTAGCTGTGGACATTTTTGAAGCCTTGGTGCACATTATTTTCTTTCTGTGACATTTTATCTTAAGATCTCAACTTTGGAGAATGTGCTATTGATCACAAATTATAATTTAGATTCTGTCTTTTCTTCTGGGTCTGGACAAATGTTCTTAACTATCATTTATATTTTCACTTGGTTAGTTCAGTATCACCTCAGTTTTAATAAATTTACCACTGATTTTATTATGACTTTTACCTGCAAATTTTTTTCTTCCAATCCTTCTATTTCAGTCAGTAAAGTTATTGGCCTGCAAATAATAAAGATGTAAAGTTAGCCTTGAAATAACCTTGTTTTTATTATTATCTTTCACTTTTATGTTTAGTCAGCTAATCTGGTCTGTATGCTAAATGAATGTGCATTTGAAAAGTGATTTATAGAAGCAAGGTTTTATCCGAATGAATACAATTTATTTTGCCTGTAGTCTTCTTTACATTGATATTTCTGCCACCAAAGATCTCTTGCCTATTAACTCAATAGGCTATGTACTCTCTTAGCTGACTTTCCTCCTTAAATATAGTCAATACAATTTAGGCTAGTCCTCCTCATAAGGTTGAATGGACTTCATTCCCAACCTCAGTAATTTCTAGTACCCTTCCCTACTTCTTAGCCTGGCTTTCAAAGACTGGTTTATTCAGAATGTCTCCCCCTATTTTTCTGGGCTTACTTGGTCTGGCTCTTGTATTTATAAGCTTTTTCATGTTTTGAGGCGAAGGGAAGTCTAAGCCTCTTTGCCCCAAGCCTACTGTTGTTCATAGTCTATTTTCTGGGCTGTAACAAAGGGAGAAGACTTTCTAAGCCAAACAAACATAAGCTTAGACATCAGCATTATCACTTACTGACAGACTGATTAGCCTTGATAAATTACTTAAACTCTGAACTTCAATTTCTTCATTTCTTAAAAAGTGATAATTATATCTACCTCAGAGAAGCTATGTAGGGATTGACATTCATGTATATTAAAAATATGCTGCTGTTTAGAATGTTTGCTATAATTATTCTCTACTGCACAACTTCAGAGTAAACTTAATGTTTTGTTTTAGGCACACGATTTTTCATATTTATTAAGCACTTCTTGCCAGTTTGTCTCACTGACCCTTTAAACTTAAAAAAACAGTATCTTAACTATCCTCTTCTATCATTGTGAGCATTTATCACAATTCTGAAAATATAAGAAGATAATAGAAATCAAGTTAGCTGATTTCAACTTCTAGATTTACTACTTAACAGCCATACAACTTAATGAAGTTATAAAAATTCCCTATGCCAGTTTCTTTATTTGTAAAACAGAAGTAAATTTTGTAACTCAAGGGTTATTGTACATATTAAAGTAATCAATATGTGTAAAGTATTTATAAAAGTTCTAGTTATGGCCAGGTGCAGTGGCTAACGCCTGTAATCCCAGCACTTTGGTAGGCCGAGGTGGGCAGATCACGAGGTCAGGAGTTCGAGACCAGCCTGGCCAACATGGTGAAATCCCATCTCTACTAAAAATACAAAAACTAGCTGGGTGTCGTGGTGGGTTCCTGTAGTCCCAGCTACTTGGGAGGCTGAGGCAGGAGAATTGTTTGAACCCAGGAGGCAGAAGTTGCAGTAAGCCAAGATCGTGCCATTGCACTCCTGCCTGGGTAACAGGGCGAGACTCCGTCTAAAAATAAAATAAAATAAAAAAGTACTAGTTATGTGGAAATTGCACCTCATAAATGTCAATTCATTATTGTAGAGAAAATCTCTAAAATTAGCATGATTTGCTTGAATAAATTATTTTATAATTACATTATACATTTATTGTAGAGTTATATAATAGTAAGTTAACATTATATATATCTATATATTTGAATTTCATCAAATTTATCGCTAAATGTGTTACAGAAACACTAAACATGCAAAGGATAAGAGGGCTTTCAAAAGTCATCCATTGTTGGAAAAATATAACTGAGAAGCATCATGCAGAATTCTACAATGAATAATATGAAAGACCCACAAAATAATAAATAAAATTCTTGTGTATAGTACCTACAGAAAAGCAGAAATTTGTTTGACTACATTAATAAGTTTACTTGACATAAAAACCATGGGAGGCTAAAAACTGTCAATACATTCTGCTGCTATTAGCTAATGAGTATATCATGCATATGCACTATTAATCATTAGTTTTTCAAGGAACTTGTGGAGAAAAGTAATAAAATAAATAGAAACCAAGAACAGTTTAGAAACCTTTCGATTTTATAAACATTACATTATTTATCTAGTTAAAGATAATTATGTTGAAAAAGGTAAAACTGCAATTTTTTGTGACTATCAAGAGTAAATCCCTACCCTAGGAACCTGCATTTTTCAGTTTCATGAAATTCTGCACCTGAAAATGCCTAGGGTAAAGATTTACTCTTGTTGTATTATAGATGTGGAAATTGAGGCTCAAAAAGTTGCATAATTTGCCTAAAATTGTACAATTGTTTTTATTTTATTTTATTTTATTTTATTTTATTTTATTTTATTTTATTTTATTTTATTTTATTTTTGAGACAGGGTCATCTTTTGTTGCCCAGGCTGGAGAGTGGTGGTGTGATCATGGCTCATTGCAGCCTCTGTCTCCTGCTGGACTCAAGTGATCCTCTCACCCCAGCCTCCCGAGTAGCTGGGACTACAGATGCATACCACCATGCCTGGCTAATTTTTGTGTTTTTTATAGAGATGGGATTTCTTTCCATGTTGCCCAGGCTGGTCTGGAACTACTGAGCTCAAGCGATTCGCCTGTCTTGGTCTCCAAAGTGCTGTGTTTACAGGTGTGAGCCACTGCACCCAGTCTACAAATGTTTTATATAACAATTCTCAACTACCTAGCATGAGCTTACCATTGTGTTAGCAAACAGAAAGAGGAATAAAAAACTACTCGTTTCTTTAAGGAACTTCCAATTGTTCAATAAACTTTTTAACTCGTTTTCAGAAGTATGTTGAACATGTGTGAATTTTTCTAACTTCACAGAAAGTTCATGGATAATGATCTTGAACATTATTTTAATGCTGACTTAAATAAAAGCCATTAGCTAAATAGATATTGAGTTTTAATCTTCCTCTGCAATCTGTTTCCCTGTGGAAAAAAAATGAAAATGTTAAAGAACTTTAATTGCTTTCTCAAAACTTATATTTGTATGGTTTGAAAATTACTCACAATATTTAAAATGTCCTTTCTAATATGAACAAATAATACTTAAGGAGTTTGCCAAATTTGTGTGCCATTACTCATTTCAGTTAGCCTTTCCTAAATAAGAAACCATCTCACCTTACTGCCTTGTAAAAATAATTTATTATTTCTCATGATTCTGTGGATTAGTGGAGGTTCTTCTGCTGTTCCTACATGGACTCACTGATGTTGGTAGCCTTTAGATGGAGGGTCAGCTGGGAACTGGTTCAACTTGGACAGCTGGTATGTGTGGGTCTCTCTTTATCTCTCAAGGTGGCCCCACCAGGTTTTCTCTTGTGGTGGCAGCAAAATCTCAGAAGACAATTCCCCAAGCGCTTATAAAACCTCTATTGGTCTACTGGTATCACTTAGGTGGATGTCCATTTGACTAAAGCAAGTCTGTTGGCAAAGCCCAGAATCAGTGTGGGAAGGGTCTATGGTCATGGATGTATTTTTTGCTCTACATTATTCTACTGACCAAATTAAGAGATTTTTAAAATAACAATTCTGGAAGGGACAGTAAAAACCCTTAATATTTTTTTGATCGACAAACTGATGCACAGAAAAAGGTAATTGCCCAATATTAAAGTCAAATTACCAGACAGCTAGATTTAATATTAGGCCAGTTACAAAGGCTAAAACACTTTTAGTGTTATTCCCCAGTGTTTGGGGAAAAAGAGTTACTGAAAAGAGCTCATCATATTACTTTAGTTAAGAAAATGAAGATTTTTCAGTAATATTTGAAGAAACTCAGAGAATAAATATTTCTCACTATTTGGCAAAAAGTATTGCTGGTAGAAATATATATATATATATATATATATATATGTTTGTGTATGTATGTATATGTATACACATATATTGTGTATGTACATATGTGTGTATATGTATGTATATTGTATAGACTGTCTGTCCTCATTATGCCCAGTAATGTTCTATAAAGACTGTGATGTCCCCACAAACACTGAATTAGCAAATACTAAGCCATTGTCCTTAGGGGAAGAACTATGTATATAGTTACATGTAAAAGATGATAATCTTAAATCTTAAAAACAACTCATCCTAGTAGATTCTATTTCCTTAAAAGAAAACAAAGTTTAAATGTGTTCAGTCATTTGCCTGAGGCCACCCCACTAACAATGAAAGAGTTAGAATTCAAACCCTGCCTAACTAAACCCAGTCCAGACCTTATTGCACTATATTGTACTGCCATCTCCATCCCCTGGTCATCTCAGTATGAGAGCTGAAACAAGAAGGCAAGTTTTGTTCTGTTTAACCTCAGTTAGATAGGTGCTCTTGCATTGAAGCAAGTTTTTTTTTTTTTTTTTTTTTTGCTCTTCTGCACATGTCTGAAAGGGAAAGGGCTTTGAGTATTGATTTTTAGGGCTCCACATAAATATTAGCAACTAGGCCAATTTGCAAATACAGAATCTGGGAATAATGAAGATTGACTATATCTAAATAATAAGAATTATTCTAATATTAATGTACTCAATGGAGCAAAGATAAGATGTGTAAAAGGAATATGATAGGGGAGTCTTAAGCTTACCCCATTTGTGATATATCCGACACAGTTTCAGACATTTGTCTCTGTTTTTCATACCTAATCAAAGTAGGGTTAATTTATGGAATGGGTTGCTTCTAGGGAAAGGAGTAAACAGATTGTACTCAGTGAGACCTGAGATTATAGCTTAAAGTCAAGAGAAAGGATGGAAAATTTTAAAATTAGGTAAATTACTATCTAATAGCAATAACCTGGAATCGTTTCTTATTGCAAATAGTTGTTTTCATCCCAATATTTTCTTAGAATAACATTGAGCCTGAGCAGAGTATTCACACTGATGACCCCATGTTACATTATACAAAAGTTATGAGATGAAATTCACATTAGCCGATTCTAAGAACTAGGGAGGGGCAAAAAAATATACAAATAGTACATCAAAATATTACAAATGGAATGTTATTGGGCTACACAATGAAAAATGTTTCTATTTCAAAATTCCTTTTAAGTGTATTCTGAAATCTCAGAAGTTTCAAATAATGTTATCAAATGGAAAATATGTAGTATTCACTACAAATGAGATTTGATGAGTGACAGAGTTTTCTTACTGATAGTGGAAATTATTTTTATATGTTAGAAAGCATCATAAGAGCAGAATTATTTTTTTGCCGTGTCTGAAGGATTAGGCGGTAGACATAAGAAATAAAATTATCCTTACAGTTGATGTAAGATATTTATGAATAATATTTTATTTATCTTTTAAACATAGTACCTAGATAAAAGCCTAACATGCTGTATACACACTTTCTTTTTATTGGAACTAAATTAGTTTTGGACACATAATCTTCTTATGTTTTAATCAGTCCGTGGAATGAATTTTGCATTTGAATGACACATTGTTCTTTTAAGTCACAAGACTCTTCACAATTACCTTGAAAGAGTAATTCAATAAATGGTGCCCTAATGGAGAAACAATTAATTTCCTTCTAACCATTACATTTATTTGTTCGCAGAAATTGCTCCGAAGTACAAATTGCTATGTGTTCAAACTTCACAGTAAAGTTCTAATATAATTTTATAAAATTAAATATCAATTTTTCATAGAACTTTAGAACCCCAAAGTACCTTAGAGATTACATAATTCAAAATTCCTTGAATTTCAAATGATGAAGCCAAAGAGCAAAGACGTTTGCTGACTTAATTCATTGATATGGTATATATTAGAAAATAAATGTATACTGTAAAATACTGTATACAATTGAAGTAATATAATTATTAGTTTTGAAATTCATCCAAATAGTGTCTCGTCAGCACTAATATATATGTTAGCTCCCAGTCCAAAGTCCTTAGTTCTATGACAGTCTGAATTTTCTCAGCTAAAGAAAAAATTGAAGTTTATATCTAAACACAGGTGTTTTTTTTTTTTTTTTTTGGGACGGAGTCTGGTTCTGTCACCTAGGCTGGAGTGCAGTGGCTCCATCTTGGCTCATAGCAAACTCTGCCTCCCGAGTTCACGCCATTCTCCTGCCTCAGCCTCTCAAGTAGCTGGGACTACAGGTGCCCGCCACCACACCCGGCTAATTTTTTGCATTTTTAGTAGAGACGAGGTTTCACTGTGTTAGCCAGGATGGTCTTGATCTCCTGACCTTGTGATCTGCCCGCCCTTGGCCTCCCAAAGTGCTGGGATTACAGGTGTGAGCCACCGCGCCTGGCCTAGGTTTTAAAATAATCACCAGTTTGTAGAATGTCCTTAAGTATTGTGGTAGATTATTATAGTTCTATGTACGAATAAGTCATTTCCATAGCAGTATCTGAATCAAGAAAATGATTATTATGGGAAAATTACAAATAAAAAGACTGGGTCAAAATCTTAAATTATCAGGTACATACTTTATGCCAGGTAGCATAGCTAAAGAAAAGTCCATATATTTTCTCATCTAATTCATAAAACAATCATGAGAAATATTTAGTAATTTTCCTCATCTTATAAACAAAAATAAGAAATATCATATAACGTTGCCAATGTAAAAAAGCTAAGAAGTGGCAGCACCTGGGTTCAAAACCGGTGTGCTGTGCTGTTAGTCACTTTGTAAGGCATTTCTCAGATTCAAAATATTTTACCTGTAATGTTTTATTTTCATATTTCGGTTAGAACCTGTAAAAGTAGCACTAAAAAGTACTCTAGATATAGTAAATATAAGCCATGAAATTAGGCCCATGTTTGATTAAGATATTGATGAATCATATTTTATTCATTTTTTTAGACATAGTAGTTAGAGAGAAGCCTAATTATGCTGTACATACTCAATTTTTACTAATCGTATAACAATTGAGGAGAGGAAAGCGTTGGAGAAAGGGAAAAAACTTGTAGAGAAAGTTGAGAACAGTGAATGAGAAAATACCTGAAGCATTTTCTTTAATTCATAACTGAAACCATTTGCTGTGAATTTCCAATGGTAGAGAAAACTCATTACCAGATGAATATTTGCTTTAGGGAATGGAAGAGTGAATCATCAATACAAGATTTCTTTTGTCTAACAGCTTTTGTAAATAGCAAAAACAACCAAAAGATAAAAACAAGTAATTTTAATAAGAGTAACCAAATGCAATTATAGCCTAAACTTAATACAATAATTTTCAAAATTTATGAGCGATGAAAAAACTAAAGATCTTCAAATGAAGCAACAAAACCTTGAAAATTATTTTTGCTACCCTGAACCTGAAGATAAGTTAACTGAGTTTGTGTCCTTAGGTTCCTTTTTATATAATGGAGCAAAATGGGAATGTATATCTGTTAGGAAGAAATTAGAAAAATAGGGAAAATGTGCAAAGGGAATGACTGCCTTCGATATAAGCCAAGACTGCAGGGTTGCCCAATTATTTGAATAGGTCTTGCATATCTCCTTTGGGAATGGGATGCATCTTCAAGTAGTATGGGTTGCAGTATAGAAATACTAAGAACTTCTAAGAAGAGGGAAAAAAGCACAATTATTCAATTAAATGACATATATTTCTTCAGTTGATTTAGTATTCCAATCTTCACTCAGGCCTTAGAAAGATAAATAAAATATGAAATACCCAGCTCTAAAATTTATTCTAAATTGCTAAGATTAATAGATAACAAAAGAAATTGCCCACAGTGTATTTGCCCCAAAGAAATGTCTGAACAATTTCTGAAGACAGCATAATGAACAGAAAAAATATATGAATAGTCAAAATATACCAATAAAGGAGGGGAGGAGAAAAACAAAAGTTGAATATAACAAGGGAGAAAGATACTCAGCTATAAAATAATAAAATAGATAAAGGGTAATGATATAGTTGGGCTTTGTGTTCCCACCCAAATCTTATCTTGAATTGTAATCCGTATAATTCCCGTAATCCACATGGGTCAAGGGTGGGACCAAGTGGAGATAATTGAATCATAGGCCCAGTTTTCCCCATGCTGTTCTCATAATAGTGAGTGAGTTCTCATGAGATCTGATGGTTTTATAAGGGTCTCTTCCTCCTTCGCTCGGCACTTCTTCCTGCTGCCTTGTGAAGAAGGTGCCTTGCTTCCCCTTGCCCTTCCACCATGATTGTTAAGTTTCCTCTTGATCAGTAGTCCAACGCTTTACCTCCGACCTATAGCCCCTCCTCATGATTGTAAGTTTCCTGAGGCCTCCCCAGCCATGCTGAACTGTGAGTCAATTAAACCTCTTTCCTTTATAAATTACCCAGTCCCAGACAATTCTTTATAGCAGTGTGAAAACAGACTAATACAGGTAATTATCTCAGTTGTTTTGCTGTGTAGAAATACCTGATAACATTATAAATTTTTAAAAATGTAACAAAATTGGTACTGTATGGATTGGCTATGAAGGATACTGTGGAACAAAGTTATATCTTGTATAAATCACAGTCTATCTGTGCTCTGATAGGAAATCTAGTAGCCTCCCAGCAAACAAACAGAAAATAGTTGACACAGAAGAGTAGTAAGCATTGAGCCAACACAAAGCCATTGGTTTGTTTGGTTGGTTGGTTTTGGAAAGAAAATGCACTGCATATAGAATCTAAACCTTGGCAAGGGATGAGTGGTTTTTCTTAACCTGAGACCTCAAGGTAGGCCAGTAACCTGAAAGGTGCTCAGATAGTCACAGGTTAATAGGATTATTTGGCTCAGGGAGAAGCAAATGCAAATCCTCTCTGCAGAAAACTAACTCCAAAGTTGGCCCTCAAGATGCTCACACACAAAGATGAACTAAATATGATCTTAAAGTGAAAGATCACGTGGTTCTCAAATAAATTAGCTACAATGAGTGACAGTTGGCAGAAACTACATTCAGAAGTTTTAGTGTCCAATCCCAAATAATTTTAGATATTGGGATAACCATTAACAGTATATAAAATTTTGACATTCAGTGGGCAACTAGAAATAAAAGAAATTTAGGAGAGAAGAATGTATGAGTGATAAAGATTTCATTTTCCTGAAAAATATGTAGTTTTTTTTTTTAAAAAAAACATAAGAATTATTTCAAAAAGAAGGAATAAACAAGTATGCCTGGGGCAGATATTGAGGAATAATCAGAAGAGTATGCTGTTGTCGAAATCAAATTCTAAGAGGAAAGTTGTGGTCAATAGTGTCACGGAGTAAAAACTCAAACACAGGCAGGCCACCAAATTCAATACTGAAGTCACTTTAATCTTCCTTTCTTGTCTGAATGCTCTGTGCAGAGGTTCCCGTACCTGCCAACCAAAGCAGCCGCAGTAGGAATTGTATGAGAATGGGGAATTACTGAATTTTCCTTTCCAAAATTACTGATAGTAAGAAGAAAAGGGAAAAAAAGCATGAAAAATTATATATATTATTCCAAGCCATTAGAGGAAATTTTGATGTCATTTAGGCGTAATATTGCTTTGCTCTGTAAATGTGTGATCTTTATTCGTTAGTCCTATAGCATCTTTTCAAGCCCAGTATCTTTTACTTTTATTCCCAAAGGATAGTTGTGGCTCTACCTATTGCCCATAAGTAGTTGCCAAAACAACCAGGAGCTCTGTCAACACAGGTCTTTCTGTTTCAGAAGTCAATTTAAGGCAGAAAGTCAATACCATAGTTTCTAAAGACAATTTTCATTGAATTGCCCATTGCTGACGTTTTTCTTTTCAACCTCTTTTCATTCGGATCGATTTTTAAACTCTTTTTTATTTCAAAACTCTCGAAATGAAATAATTGCATTAAATTGGATGCAAACTTTTCTAAAACTGAAAGGAAAATAAATATGAAAAGTCAACTGAGAGTTCATTTAAAAGGATCATCAACCCACCGACAGAACTGACATTTCTCAGAGAAAACGTGAGAATGTTTTAGGTGGTTCTTTAGGTGGTTCACCCTGACAAAAATTGAGGAAAAATATATATTGCTAATCCATTACCTTTGGATATCATTTCTGGAGTATGAATGAATGTTAAATATCGAAAAGTAAAACACATTTTAAATATTAAGGACATCTTGTAGAGAATTACTGAGAGAATAAATTTTTCCCTTATGTGCAGTGTTATCTAAATCAATCTCCAGGACTAAACTGTCATGTTTCTAAGCAAGGGATTCAGGAGATCTAAAATGACAGCTTTAATTTAACATTGTGACAGAAGAGTTCATCTCAAAAAAACTGTAGACTTTTCTTGGGCCTACATTTTTCTATGCTGCCTTTCCAACTATTTGTTCTTTTAACATTTGAGATTGCAGGGCTAAGTTTTGTTTTAATACCTACTGAACAACGACAACAACAGAAAGCTTCCATGGTACTAAACCACATCAGATAAATGACTGAATATGCCTAATTATTAATATATAGCAATATCACCTCTGAAGTACATATTATCATTTTAAAGTTGCAAGAACTAAATTTTAGGGCACATTCTCAAAGAATATGACTAGATATTTTAATTTAAATATTTTAATGAAAGTAGTACTTGACTCATTTTGTGTATTGAACAAATGTTTGAGTATATTCTGTGTGTCAGGCAACGTGATAGATGCTTCTGATAAAATAAAAAAGAAGACCAGCAAGGCCCTTGCCCTAACAGAATTTAAACTCTAATCAATTATGAATTAAGAAATTTTCTGCAGGTTTCCAAAGTTATTTGGAATCGGTAGATAATAGTGAGAGAATGAATGAACATAGGTGTATATAAATATATATTCAGGTAATGAAGAGTCATTATTCCACCAATTTGAAAATATTATCTGTCTTTAGTATTTAGCTACAATCTACAATCTATTTACAGTTAGCTGGTGGACAAATATTTATGTAACCTCCCTCATAATGAAAAGGAAACTGTACTAAGTGCTACAGGAACTATTAAAAGGAAGAAAGATGCAGCTCTCAGGGGACAGAAATAGATATTATATTATGCATGAATAATACAAGTAGTAGCTGTCAATAGAATTTAAAGGAGGAAGCTGTTGTTTTAGCTGGGATGATCAGAGCAGTTTTAAAAAAAGAAATAGGATTTGATGTGTCTCCTTAAGAATGGGTAGAATTTCAGTACTTGGAGAGAAAAACAATAGCTGTATGTGGATAAAAAGAAGGATAGAAAGGTATTATTTCCCCTAAAAGTTTTATATTTTGTGGATGAGACAAAAATTAAACACAAATTTTTAACAGGAATTTTGTAAAATTACATGTTTCCTTGAGTATGTTTAAATTGAAATATGTTTTTAATTATCAGTTTAAATAGCGTTAAGATGTATAATTTTTAAAGATTCTTAATATTGATATTATTAAATTAGATTGTTATATTATTTTTATAAATATGGCCAATGGAATTCAAATGCATTAGCAACTTGGTAATCACTTTTATGTATTTTTTTTAAATGGTCATGTTTAACAGTCAGAAATTATAAATTATTTTTCTCCATGAACTCAAATTTTCACTTCACTTCCCGCTGCAGGATTTTAGATTAATGTAACGTATTTCATTCTTGAAATTCTTTTGTTGACATCCTACATTTTCATGGTTCTCAGTAATTCTTTAGAATTTACTTTGACCATTGGACTCCAAATCTTAATACTTCTGAATTATATAATCATTATGAGTACACAACTGATCAAAACTATATACATTTATATTTAAATTGTGACAAATTAATAACAAAGTATTATTTGTATTGCATCTGTTAATGAGATAAATGAGGCTTATTTAGCTAATTTCAGTACCATGGATCAATATTAACTATTGTTAAGAAAAGATATGTATCAGTGTTAATTCTATCCTTATTTTTTTATAAATGTGAGTGCTGAGAAAAATTATTTACACAAATAAGTAAGTGAACATAAAAAGTGTTTTAAAATAGCAATGCCACTTAACTTTTTGAAATCCTTCAGTGTTACATGTTAAAATTTGATAGAGATTTATCATCAAAAGTCATTTTTAGTAATCAATCAGATTACACTCAGGGCTCACACATGAGAATTGCGCTATAAAAAGACTCAAGATGTTGAGAGGTAATGCATTTCTTCTATAAAATATAAAAACAATATTTGTAAGAGAAAGTTAATTGGGAATTGGGAAACGGTAAAGGAAAAATCTATATATCTATTATGGATTTGTTATCATATAGACTAATTTTAGGAAAAAATAACTGTCCACTGATGCTCTGAAAACCGATTTCCTTAAAGCTATTCGTGCCAATACATAAAGTCCTTGAAATGCCTTTCTGAACCCAAGCGAATGCCCATACTTGAGTTTGAAGCCCATAAGAAGAACATACTATGGAACCATATAGCCTTGGTATAGTGAGTCATTTCAAGAGAATGTTAGTGAAGGAAAAACCTGAAGTCTGGGGAACTGAGCAAATAAAGTTTGAATTAGGAGGAAGAGTAATTCTCAAGACAGCAGTGATTGCCTTGGAGGTCTAGTAGATGAGCAAGAACCTTATGTACTGTAAGAAGGAATTGCAAGAAGTTTTGTGCCATCTGAAGTAGAGTGTGTAAGACAGAGGGCGTTGAATAATGAACCTAGAGAGCTGTTTGGAAACAAACGAAGTCAGCTTTGTAAGTTAGGCCATGAAATACAGACTTACCTGTGGACAGTGGTAAACTACTAAAATGTTTTTGACAGAGTTAGTTATTTTGTTTTTGTCTTTTTAAGACCTTCTTGGGGCAATAAGGAAAATATATCCCAGGGGAATATGTGATACCAGGAAGATCTTTTAGCAGGTGCTTGGGGTGAAAAAGAAAGAAATGATAGTTTCTTGAAATGAGCTGATGGCAAAGAAGATGGAAACAATTAAGTTTGAGGACTATGAAGGACATAAAATTGCCCAACATGAAAATTAATAGTGGGGAGTGAGGAAAATGAATTTTTTTCTAGGTATTATTGAGAAGTCAAAATGAGACCAGATATGGAGCTTTGGATTTAAGTTGAATGAATAGTGACTCTCTTCCCTAAATATTTGGAAACATTTGAAATTTTTTAAGTAGTAAGACTAATATGATAGAAATGGCATTTTATGAGCATTAACATTATTAGAATATGCCATTACAATGGAAGAGTCTGGAGGAAGTGAGTATATCTTTAACTGAGACTAGCATGAACTATGCTGCATGCAAGGAATAAAAAGGACAGTTTTGATTCAGTGGGTGTTACAAAATAAAGCATGAAATGATATGAACTCAAGACTTCAGGAATATATTTTTTTCTATTTTAATTATGTGCTGGTCACTGCCTTTGCACAGAGCAACGAACAAGACACCTCTGTAACCTAATGAAGCTTAAGGTCTGGTGGATAAGAAAGCAATGAAATATATATGTGCATATATTTACAATGGCAATGTGTCTTATGAGAGAAATATTAATACTAGTTGTCATGAGAACTGGTAACAAAAGGGCTTAAATCTTTTGGAGAAGTGAGAAGGGCAATTAAAGAAGTAAAAGAATGAGATATCTGGAGTGAGACATAGGCTCAAATATGCCTTAAGTCATAACAAAAATAGAAGGAGCTAGTATTACTAGACACATGGAAATTAGGAGCAGAGATTATTTTAAAGGAAAAAAAACTGGGTGATTTAGTTTTGTTCTGTATGAAGTGATATTAGTGGGTCAACATAGAAATATGCATTAGATAGTTGGACATGGAGGACTAGAGCTTAAAAATAGATGGAATGCGGGTGTCTTCCAAATAAAGAATGTCGTGCTAAACCAGGACATGCAAACATCAGAAAAAAATATAAAACTTTTAATGTAAAGCAATAGAAATTATTTAAAAATTATTTCTTAAATAGAAATTATCTCTTAAATAGAAATTTTTAAAGAAATATTTAAGAAATTATTTAAGAAATATTTAAGAAATATTAATTATTTAAGAAATTATTTAAGAAATAATTTTCCAGTAAAATAGATACATTGTAGTAGAAAGCACATTTCTCATGAGTTAAGAAGTACTGTTAACTTTGTTTTATGTGTCCAAACATTGTATTTTTCCATTATTTTCAGGAAAGACATATTTACTCTCTTTAAATATCAGAAATATTGCAGTAAACAAACACATAAGGAATACTACAAGGAATAATTCATTTTTTTACAAAGTTTAAACTTTAAATCAGGAAATTAGATACATCTTGTGAAGCTTAAGATATTGAGAAAGAAGAATTAGAAGGTAAAGTAAAAGACATCCTCTGGCCAACACGTATTAACTGACTGGACTTACCCTCCTGCCTAAAGCGATTTTTAAAAACTTTACGAATATAAGAACCAGTGATTTTCAGATACTGAAAATCAGGAAACTTGAAACAGTGAATCCTGAAAGAGGGAAAAGTCGAATTCTCGTACCTTGCTAGTGAGAGTTTAAAGTGATATAGTCACTTTGGAATCACGTTATCAATTTCTTACATAGTAAAATACATATACCTCCCAAACGATCCATCCATTCCAATCATAAGTCTTCATTCAAGAAAAAATCTTTAAAATGCCCATATGAAGATTTGTTGAAAATTATTCATTATAACAAGTTTATTTGTAAAGGCCAAAAATTGGAAAACACCTAAAAGCTCATCAACAGGTGAATGGGTAAATAAATTGTATCCACACAACAGAATATTACTCAGCAATAAAGTTGATGCCCTCAAAACATATATGAATCTTAATAATTATCTGAGTAAAATAAACCAAGAAAAAGTGGACATATTGTTGGCTTTATTTATAAAAATTATTTTAAAATGTAGATGATATATAGTAACAGAAAGCAGATCAGTAGTTGACTGGGATTCGGGGAAGGTATAAGTAGGTAGAAACAGAAGGGCAAATTCTAGGCAATTGTCAAGGTGTATGTTTTTGATGTGCTACTGACATTTTGGCAGGATAATTCTTTCTTATGCAGGTAAGAACTGCCGTAGGTTTGTCGTTTCTGGTTTTCTCCTACTAAACATCAATGTTGTCATTCACTTATAACTAAAATAAATATTTTTCTCTATATTTTCAAATGCCCCAAGAGATCGCCTATGAAGACCAACAAGGATGTGAGGAGAAAGTACAGCCTAATTCACCTAAAAAAAATCTGTAGAATACCCTTGGAATTCCTTGAAAAATTTGAAATGTTTTTTGCAAGAATTTGTTTAATAATTAGAAATAAACATTTACTAAGAAAGCATTGATATTGCTTAGTTCCTTGGGATGTTCAATATAGTAGTAAATTTCTGACTGGAGCTGAGCCTGTCAAAAGTTGTATTCTAGTATTCTAATCCTAGACGCAGCATTGTTTGATTAGCATTTTTTTTTCTGATTCCAGTTTCACAAAGTATAAACTCTTTTCCATGTCTGAATATTCTGCTAAAGTGCTAACACTTTCAAGAATGTGCTACCCTCTTTAAAATGTGCAACTTTTTTTTAAAATGTAGAATTTAAAATAGAATTGTGTTACAATATCAGATTATGTATTTATCATGATCATAAAGTAAATGTGTTTTCTTCAAAATTATTTTTTGTTTTGAGGCATTTTTAAATTGATGCCTAAAACTTCAAAGCATGTTCTATTTATGCTATTCAATACAATAACCCACTAGTGATTAGTAGCCATTGAGTACTGGAATAGTGGCTATTTTTACTGAGAACCTAAATATTTAGTTTCATTTAAATAACTCAGTGTGGTTTGTGGCTACCATATTATACAGCGCAGTTCTAGAGTGACTGGGAAGGTATAACATAACCATTGAGATTTACATGATCACTCTCTGTATTAATTCTACTAAACCACTGACTCTATTTTTAAAATACCCTAGACACATTGAAATTAGGGGAATTGATAAAAGTTTGTATTTTGTATTTTATTCAGGGAGAAAGAGAAAGAAACAAGAAACAATGGCAGGAAAAAATGTGTAGATTGTCCTTTTTCTTTCTTTTTTTTCTTTTTTTCTTTTCTTTTCTTTTTTTTTTTTTTTTACATTTTTCAACATACTCCACAAGTTGGCAAAAATTTCTAGAGAGACTTCTTCAATTGTTTAAGTGTCATGAATGAGCATTATATTGATGTGCCCTGGAAGAAATATTAGCTCAACAGGTGTTCACTACTGTAAGTTGATTCTTAACTAGTCCCAACCAGTATGGTGATTAATAATGTATAAATATTTGAAGTTAATTCATCTTTTTGAAAAACAAGACCGTAATAATGCCTTTGTCACTCAGCAAAGACTGGAGTTAACATCCTCCAAAAGAGTCCGGTAGTACTGAATACGCCCGCTCCCTTGCTAACACCTGAAACCTATACTGTAATTGTCACTTACTGGCTGCTACCTCATTGGTGAATTACTGATTTGTAGATTAGGACTGCAGGAGTAGGGGAGGAAATTTCAACTAGAAAATGCAATAGCTTCGGCACGACGGCTCATGCCTGTAATCCCTGTACTTTGTGACGCTGAGGCAGGTGGATCATTTGAGGTTAGGAGTTCGAGACCAGCCGGATAAACACGGTGAAACCCCGTCTCTACTAAAAATACAAAAACAAAACAAAACAAACAAAAAAAATTAGCCGGGTGCGGTGGCACATGCCTGTAGTCCCAGCTACTTGGAAGGCTGAGGCAGGAGAATTGCTTGAACACAGGAGGCGGAGGTTGCAGTGAGCAGATATCACGCCACTGCACTCCAGCCTGGGCTAGAGAGCAAGACTCCATCTCAAAATAAATAAATAAATAAATAAATAAATAAATAAATAAAAGTAAAAAAGTCCAGGCGCGGTGACTCATGCCTGTAATCCCAGCACTTTGGGAGGCCGAGGCGGGTAGATCACGAGGTCAGGAGATCGAGACCATCCTGGCTAACACGGTGAAACCCCATCTCTACTAAAAATACAAAAAATTAGCTGGGCGTGGTGGCGGGCGCCTGTAGTCCCAGCTACTCGGGAGGCTGAGGCGGGAGAATGGCGTGAACCCGGGAGGCGGAGCTTACAGTGAGCCGAGATCGCGCCACTGCACTCCAACCTGGGCAACAGAGCGAGACTCTGTCTCAAAAAGAAAAAAAAAAAAAAAACAATAGAAGAATGAATGAAAAATCCAACTTTCAGTGAAGAATTGAACTCATTATACTTAAAAAATGTCTGCTATTCCAAGCTAGTACTGTATAATGTCTATACTGTATAATGTCTGCTATTCCAAGCTAGTACTGTAGCTATGTAATGAGCATAGAGAATCTGAGACAGAATCAGTCATTTATAGCTATAAAGAAGGAAAAATAGAACCATTTAATATATTATAGATTCCTTTGCATGATTTGTAATATTTGTTTGACTAAAAGTACCTATGGCATCTGAAATGAAAAATGCAAACTTATTTCTGATACTACAAATTAATTAAATTCTGTAAATAAGTATGTATGTGTAAAGACAGAATAATCAAGGAAATAATTTTATGCTTCCTCTATTCAGAAGCTCGTCTTATATAGTGAAATATTTTAAATAGCAGTTTTTAAACTAAAAGAAGATTATTGATTTTTCTGAATATAAAAATGATCCTTCTCACTAAAATGTGATCAAATAAAAAGTAAAACTATACCCTATACTGCAAAATTATAATATTATGATGATCATAGTGAATTTTTGAAGCTCTCTTTACTAATTTCTTTAACTGGGTTTGTAATTTTCCTCCATATTATAGCAGACAGATGCAGCTGTTGAAAGAAGACTTGGAGAACACATTGTGGCTTATCCAGCATAAGTGTGCTAAGTGTTCCTTGGACTCTATTAGTGATTTCCATATTCAGCATGTAACTTTGGGGAGTATCTTATGCTGCCTTTGAACGTAATCACAATTTTTTGAAGTGTGCTCAATTTATAAAATTAAACAGCTGTTCCATCCAGGGGAATTGGGGATAAATGAGCACATGTTATCATTGGAAGTGGATGATATAGCCCTAGATATCATTTTCCTAAAGAGATGCAAACTTTCATTTTAAATCATGAATCCAGCAATCAAACAATTTCATTGATGATCTAGTTTGAAGGTATTCAGTATGAACATATTTGTGAAAGCTGGCAAATAGTTTTAAATATATTTATAGGTGATGAGTATAAAAAAAGAAGATGTCTAAGTTTCTAAGTATTATGGCTATGACTTCTTGGTCCCTTGAAATATAACAGGAAAAGGTGTCTGTTTCTTTATGTTATAAGCATTGAAATTGAATTACATACTCAGAGTATTTTGGAATCTTGACCAAAGTTATTTATGCAGTTTTACTATTGGGAACCTACAGATTCAATTGGTTGAAGTTGAAACTGTATACATTTGGATTAATTTGAGGTTGTTGGATTAGAATATGCAGTGTTTTTCCCCCAAACAAAACAAATAATAACCTATAGGAAATATGTTATAATATGTATATATTTACATAAAAATAGTTTAATCAATTGTTACCACTGGAGATTGGTAACCAACTCATTTCACCTCAAAATTCACAACTTGTGGGTAACAACTGTAGTTAGTTTACTATTTTATTATCATAAATTAGCATTTACAGAGCATTTTGCTTTATTTTTTATTTGGAATATTTTGGAATAAACACAGGGCCATATGCAAGATAACCAAATATTCTGCTAGGAGTTATTTCTAAAAGTTAATGATTCAGCTTGAGAACGGAAATCATGCAGAAAAATGTATGCAAGAGAAAGTTAATAGTGTATGTTAGGAAGACAAATAATGCTTTTGAGTAAAGTAGAGTAGTCCCTTCTAAAAGTAGTAAATGTGTGGGTCAGGTTGGAAACTGGCTAATAAATACTTCACCTATTTGTTTCCCTTCTCATTACTGATCTGTGTTCTTCAGTTGATTTAGCCCCCCACAGCTTCCTTTCGTTGCTCCAACACTGTGGTCAACTTTCATTGTCTTTTACTGGGCTTAAATTGTTTTTATTTAAAGCAACAAATATTTTTCTAAACCCTATGAAATAATACAGTGATATCAAACACTTCTAGCCCTTGCACTTTCTATGCATTATACATATATTTAATGTTTACATATTAAGTAAAAATATATTTAATCTAGTTTCATTATAGTTTCTATAATGTATTATAACATCATTTCTAGAATTTAGACAATATGTGTTTTCCATAGGCCTCATTCTCTTGTGTTCAGTGCTACACACCAGCTTCTAGAATATTACTTGGTATATAGTAGGAAATCAGTATATATATTTATTAAATTAATGAATAAATTAATTTTTTTTAGATAAGCTGTATTGGTCTGTTCTTAGATAGCTAAAAAGAAATACCTGAGATGGGGTAATTTATAAAGAAAAGAGGTTTAGTTGGCTTATGGTGCCGCAGGCTGCACAGGAAGCATGGCTGAGGAGGCCTCTGGAGACTTAAAATTGTGGTGGAAGGCAAAGGGGGAAGCAGGCATGTCTTACGTGGCCGGAACAGGAGGAAGAGAGAGAAGGGGAAGGTGCCACACACCTTTTTTTTTTTTTTTTTTTTCCTTTGAGACGGAGTCTCGCTCTGTCGCCCAGGCTGGAGTGCAGTGGTGCGATCTCGGCTCACTGCAAGCTCCGCCTCCTGGGTTCACGCCATTCTCCTGCCTCAGCCTCCCGAGTAGCTGGGACTACAGGTGTCCGCCACCATGCCCTGCTCAATTTTTTGTATTTTTAGTAGAGGTGGGGTTTCACCGTGTTAGCCAGGATGGCCTCGATCTCCTGACCTCGTGATCCACCCGCCTTGGCCTCCCAAAGTGCTGGGATTACAGGCTTGAGCCACTGTGCCCGGCTGATGTCACTTTTAAACAACCATATCACATGAGAACTCACTCACTTCTACGAGAACAGCAAGGGGGAAATCTTTCCTCATGACCCAATCAATCACCTCTTACCAGTCCCCTCTTCCAACATTGGGTATTACAATTCGACATGAGATTTGGGAGGGGACACAAATCCAAACCATATCATGTACCATTCCTAAAACCTTCTGGGATTTTTATTATTCTAAAAAATTCACTTTACCTTCTCGATATCTTTGATATTCTTTTTTCAGAACCCCATGTTGTGTTTTACTTTGATGTGGTCAATCTTTCTTTGATTTTTATATGGTTTCTTATATAGTTTCCTGATAAAGACTGCAAAGAGAGGCAAAACTTTTTATAAATTTTTTATTAGAGTAGGCAAGGCTACTGTGTAATAACACATCTCTAAGTCTTAAACATTAAAATGAAATTTAATTGTTTTAATTAATGAAATATTAGACTGCTGTAGTCTAACTCAAGAGGGGATTAGGGGACTTTAGGGCTCTGTTCCAGTCATTAGGAGACTTAAGCTCCCCCTATCTATGACACTGAAACCTTCAGCACATCACCTCCAAAGCCACTACTGAGCGGGAAGAGAGGGTTTGGCTGATCACATAAGGACATTTTTATTTTGATTTTTTTTTAAATACGGATTTCATATTTAGACAGAGAAGTGACATGTACATAATTGCCAGCACATTCTATTGGCCGGAAGTCAATCACCTAGCCTTACTCAACTGCAAGGAGAAATGGGAGATACAGATTTCCTATGTGCCTAGAGAAAAATGAATGTATTTACTGAATGCATAGTGTTATCTCTGCCACATCATGGATATCTGACAATGTCTTTATTCTTTCCTCACTTGAGTAATACTTTGACTATAGAATTTTAGTTCAGAAATCATTTTTCCACAGAATTTTGAAGATAATTTCATTTTCTCTGAAGAGACACAGTGTTTTTTTATGTTTAAAACATAAAAACAAACTGATATAAAACAAAACTTTAATATAGTTATATCCAAATGATTTTTGTTCTATATTTGCGCTTTTTTGGGTCTTTCTTGGGAACTTTTACCTGTTAAAATGTGATGAAAATGCTATCCTGCAGTTTTTACTATTTACTTTATAATTTTCCCCTTATATTTAGGACTTTCATTCATTTGGAATTTACCCTTATACATGGTGTAAGATTAGAATCCAATTTAACTTTTCTCCTATGGTGCTAGTTACATGAGTAACGTCTTCTAAACAACTTTCTTTTTTTGTTTAATCACTAATTTGTCATACCGCTTTATCATGAATGTCTGATCCTTGTATAAATCGTCTTCTCATCTGCTCGGTTAACTCATCCTTCAATTTTATTGATCTCTTTGTTCTTGCCCCAATATTAGTCTTTTTCAAAATTTTAATTACTCTAGCTTTGTTACACATCCTTTTACTAAAAAAGAGAGCCCCACAACACTATCTTAACTTTATGCTTTTTCTGCAGGATTGGGCAGGCTCTTGATCCTTTCATTTATAATACTTAACTAAAGTTAATTATTTTCTCAATAGTCACCAGTTTATATTTAAATGTTGCTGTTTCTTTCTTGCTCAAATTATCTGATTACCTTTCTTTTTATTTAACTATATTAATGTGCTTATATCTTACCATATTTTCATTTCTTCTCAAGCTGTTTCCTTCTTCTAGCTTTTTGCTGATATTTTTAGGTGGTATTGAGATTGGGAAACATAAGATTCTAAAATTTCCTCTTCATTCCTGTTATATATATTTCAGAGATCATATTTACCCCTTGAGTCTTCAAAATAATGTGCCATGCATGCTCTTAGTGTTGAGATATCTTAAATAATTATTTTATTATTAATTTTATCTTTTAGCATTTATTATTAGGTGAGCTCTATCTGAATCCAGCTGTAGATACATAAAAGAAGAGAGTGAATTGTCTTTAGCTGTGTTTATTATGCATGTTGGGTGAACTCCCTCAGATATACTGCTGACAAAAACGAATATGCACAGCTATTAATTCCCTTTCTAGTGTCTGATAAGTATACATGTCTCCATTCTGTGAGTACTTAGACTCATGTAGGATCATCTTCTGTCCCATATCCTAATATCTGGTACTCTGAACCAATGGAGTATATAGCATAGTATCAACACAAACTATGTGCTACCACCTTTCCTGTCTCTATCAGAACCAAGAACATTGCTTATGAGGACTTAAATCGGAGAATGTAATGAATTACTCCTAAATTTTCTCTCACCCCCAACAATCCCTGTTGTACTTCAACAATGTGAACTCTAGCTGCCGCCAACAGCCTTACATACACTGGTCTATATGATGGATGGTTAGGCAATGTAGCCTGCAGAGTCATTGCAATGTTTGCTTAGCTTCTTTCCACTCAAATTCTTTCCATCTTCCAAGTTATATGTTAAGATTAACATATAAGTGTGAGTTTTCACCTTTTTTTTTTTTGGAATTTTCATGGATGTTTTCAGTGGAGATTTCAAAGAGGCTGCATTGATGTTTATTGTTAGAAACTTTTTTTTTTTTTTTTTCTGAGAAGGAGTTTCCCTCTTGTTGCCCAGGCTGGAGTGCAATGTTGCGATCTTGGCTCACTGCAACCTCCATCTCCCAGGTTCAAGCGATTCTCCTGTCTCAGGAAACTTTTTCATATAAATGCTTTCTACTAGTTTTAGGAATAGATTTATACATGTTAATAGCATCTATTTGTGAAACTAGGATTAACGGAAAAAGAAATATGTGAAATTCAAAATTACCTGTGCTTATTTTTGATATTTACTCCTTGGCCTTCACAGCATTAATTCCATGCTATTTACATAAGATTTAGAAAGTTTAAAATTAGCTTTTATTTTGCTAGTAAGATACTGTAGTACTGGTAAAAGAAAAGAGCTGTAAGTTAAATGTAGTATTTGTTTTAAATTCCCATATTCCCATTGTAAGATAGAAATGACCATATTTAAAATCTTAGTATTATCAATAAGCAATTCATTATGTTCAAAATAGCGAATTTCTATGGAGTCAATGAATACGAAATTTGACATATTCCCAATTAATTGAGCAATTAATAATTGCATGATTAGAGACTTAGCTTTCATCCATTCATGGTATAAACTATTCTACAGTTTTATTTCTATCCTGTTTCAAAATTATCTATTTCTTACAGTCCGTAGAGATTGTATATAAAACTACTACAAATATATCAGTATTTATTATTTTAAAAGTTGAATTATTCATGGTTCTCTTTCTTGTTTTATTTTTAATTGTTCATTATTTCTAAATTCCCACTTAACTTACTGTATAATATTGATCTATGTTGGGATAATATTTTATAGCTCTGATTTTCCCATTCCCCACAAAGTAGTTTAAACAGAGTATGCACGTTGTATGCATACTATTGAGTTTAAACTCAATAATAATTTATTTCAATGAGGATAAATAAATGGAAAGAAATTAAATTCCTGATGCTTTTCTTTGTAGTGCTAGTTTTGTCTGTCTATGGTTTTATTTATAATACTGATAAATTTTTAAATTTTTTTTTGGCTTTTGATTTGGAGTTGCACCTAAATATCTATGTACCTTTAAGCAAATCTCAAAATATTTATGAAATTCAATTACTCTTACTGGAAGTGATAAGGTTAAATAAGCTAATTTCTAGTCTCTAAAGTTTCTCCTACTTTTCTTTATGAATAATAATCATCATCATAAGAACTACAATTTAATGAGTGTCAGTCATATACTAGGCATTAGTACTTAAAACAGACCTATTCATTTAGTAGAAGAAGAAACTGAGGTTCAAAGAGTTAGAGCAGCCTGTCCAAGACAGCACATCCATGAGGTGGTGAATTCAGAATTGTAACCTGGGCAGGCTACGTGATAGCTGCTTCAAGTGTTCTCTGTCAGTTCGTTAGAGTTTGTGAGGCCATATTCTCTCATTTCATTCTTGCTTTAGTTATGAATCAGTTATTTCATTGATATTTCAATTTAGTTTATGTCCTCCACTGAATCTTTGCCAAATTCTTTTATTCCTCCAATCATACCTGCCCAAGTCTGAGTCCTACTCTCATAAAATCAGAATGATAGAAGCCTCAGGTCTCAACATTTAAACATATTTAACTGTATTTTCATACTTATACTCTTTCTTGTTCCTACACAAATAAAAATAATGTTCATTTTCTTTCCAAAGTGATTATTTTGTATTCTAATAATTCTAGTAATTCATCCAAGTTCATTTATATATTTACTTTGTAATGAAGTGAGAGAATAAAAATGAAATAAGTCTTCAATTTAGTTCATTTTCTTCCCCTTTCTCTACACTGGTTCTATACTGGTTCATTTTTCAAGTAGAAAATCTGAAAATAATTTTTATTTATTACCTGATATAATATGTATTTGATGATATGTACCTTATTTCCTCATCCACAAATAATACACACCTAACTTTTTTGCCCCAAAGAGGCATCAAACTTGATTTACAAAAAAGGAAATGTTCCAATTATGAACATTATTCTGAAGAGGATACCCAATATATAAGCTCAGTCTTGGAAATGTGCCTAAATTTTTAATTTACAATTAAAATATAGAAGGAAAATCACAAATTTATTTTTTTTTATCATTATAGCTATATTCTGATTAAGTTTGCAGTTGGATGCTTTGACATACTTTCACAAGTATAGATTCATGGCAGAATGTGAAGTAAGTAAAAAGTTAGGTAGATCTTATTTATTCCTGTAAGTCTTCATTAGTCAAGGACTGCTGTCATCCCCAAAATAACTGTCATTGACACTTTCAGGTCTGGGTTCAAAATAATATCTGAACTGATTCTGAACCTGAGGCAGTCAAGCTGAAATTGCAGAGAGCACCTAGTCCCATTTCACAAACTTTCCAGATATATTTTTGGAATCACAAGTACATTTTATATTTAAAGTAATGTTGCTAAAAAAAAAAACAAATTTTCTAATAAACATTTTCCTTAAACAGCAATAAAAGGTAACACAATAATAACTCACAATATTTTATACCCCCATAAAGTAGCCATCTGCTTCCAGAATATAAAATATCTTCCAAACCCAATCAAACAATATAAGTAATCTTTATATCTAGAACTTGGAATCACAGGTATGTTTTAATATTAGAAATGAAGTCAGTTTTTACTCTCATGTACTTTCTGGATCATATTTTCACCTCCCACTTTTGCTTGGCCTGATACTACCTGTCCTTAAGGTTTCTCCAGGAAGCTCCTTTCCTGGTCTAAATTTGTCATTCCATCAGTGAAGAGACAGGTTAGCTAGCGATTAAGAGCACAGATTATTCTTAACCCCTACTTTGCAATTTAAAAGCTGTGCCATCTTGAGAAAGTTGTGAAACATCTCTGTACCTCACTCCTTCATCTGTAAATTGGAGATGAGATACTTACTTCATGTGTTTTTTTTTTCCTGAGGATTATACTATTTAAGTCATGAAAAGCATGTGGAAACAGTGGCTGACATATAGTAAGTACCCAAGATGGGCCATGCATTGGTAATAAGTTTTGTGTTCTTCAATAGCATTTTGTACATTCCCTATCATGATAGTAACCACTCTGTAATTATGCTTCTTAGTTGTCCCTTTTCCCAGAAAGATTATAATGTCCAATCACTCAGAAATTATATCTCTGTTTGTCACAGTACCTCAATACCTATCATGATGCCTAAGACATAGTAAACACTTAATCTGCATTTATTGAATGAATTAAGTTTCTATATGTCACAGGGACCAAGATACATATTTTATGTATATTATCTGCTTAAAATTTAATCATAACCAAGGAATAAAATAGTAGTATATAGGTAAGGAAACTGAACCTCAGTTTTCATGGTTATCAGACAAACCCCAAGTTAATCAACCTACACATCAAAGTTTCTCCGCTACTTCCCGATGATTTCCCCTGCAAGTCTCCATCGAGGCACAAAGTCAAAGTAGTCAAAAGAAAAGTAAAATTTGGAAATTAAGTCTGTAGTATGAGTCTGTGAATTTGCTAAAATTATGGCTGGCTCATCATTTTCCAGGAATGAAGATTGCTTTGAAAATGCTGAAATAATCACCCCTAGATTCTGATTTTGTACATGAGCAGTTTATCATAATGACACCTCCTTTATCTCATCTTTGTACCTTCTTTTCTTGGCATTTACTTCATTTACTGCAAATTTTGTGTAGTCTGTTTCACATCATTGTAAACTTGCCTCAAATCACCTGATGCTATGTTTCTATGATTATGCCAAGTTTTGCACTATGCTTAGTTCATTCTTTTGTAATTAGTTTTTCTGTCTGTTTGTTCAACACTTACTGTTGTGCGTGAATACTTCCTGTGAAGTTTTCTTTGTCAGTGATCAAGTTTACATTGAAAATTTGCAGCCAAGCGACATTGATGTATTGGAAATGGAAACATACATGCATTAGCATATTTCTTTCCTTCTTTCTTTTTTTTCTTTTCTTGAGATGGAGTCTCACTCGGTTGCCCAGGCTGAAGTGCAGTGGTATGATCTCAGCCCACTGCAACCTCTACCTCCTGAGTTCAAGCGATTCTTATTCCTCACCCTCCCCAGGTGCACACCACATGTGCACACATTACAAAACAATTATGAACGATAACAAACATTTTGGTTCAAGTTCATCTCTAGAAAATCATTTTCTATGGCACCTTATCCTTCTGTGATTGTTTCATCAAATTGAGCTTCTTGATAGCTTAAATCTTATGAGTTAATCATTTTGTTCCCTCTCTGACAGCGACCAACAAATATGTCTGACACCTACTATAAATATTCGAATTAATTAATGCTGCCAGAAGAAGTGATTCTGACACATCTCTTTGCTTAGAGTATACATATTTATTTTGTCTGTTCTATAAACATTCCACTGTAAAAAGAAAGGGCTAGTTCTTATACTAGAATGAATTATTTTTCTCATGTAGACAAATTATTTTTACTATTTCTTATTTATACTTGCTTTGCTTTTTAGCAACAACCTTGGAAAATCTTTTGATACTTGAAATGAAGGCTATTAGGATGGATTTTCTTTCCTTGGTATCTGTAGACTAATTTTGATTTTCACTTTTAAACATATATCTACTTGTCAAAGCTTCTAAACACAAGTAAAACATATAATAATAATGCTAGAATTAAAATATAGCTTAAAGCATTATATTCCTTTTGCAAATACTACAGAAGTAATTTATAACCCTTTGAGATCAGAGTTTGCAAATTTTGGCTTTCTCATATAACAAGAATAATTTGCATTTGAAATATAGTGTATGTTTAAATTCTCTTCTATGGGAGTTAGATGTTGAAATCTTTACTGAAGTGATTTTTTTTTTCCTGCGAACACTTACAAGATTCCTGTTCTCAACTTAAAGATTGAGATTTATGTGTCCAACACTTTAAATTTTTTTTTAAATTTTTACACATTTCTCAGTGAAACCCACTTGTTGTCTTTGACTTAGAGACTCTATAATTAAAGTAAAAGCACATTTCAATTTAAACTCTAATTCACAGATAGTTTCTTAGTTAGTCTTTATTATATCAAATAATTGCAGCAACATTTAAAACTATTATATTTAAAATATAATATATATGAAACTGCTAAAGTAAACATTTACATTCTAGAATTCTTTATAAACCATAGACAGTAAATATATTTGAAATAATCAGCTTGCCACACTGGCTAGAGTGTCAAAGTAGCCATAGTGCTACTGGTTTTTAAGTCCACTGCTGAGTTTGGCCAGGGCTACTACTTTTTACATAAAATGGCTTTAAAAAACTACTAAGAATACTTGTTTACATGGTGAGTAGTAATATACTCTTTATTGCACCAAAACAATTTTCTTAAATGGGAGTACTTGCTTACATTGTGAACTGAAAAATATCTCCAGTCTATAATATGCCTGATTCCAAGTAATTCAAGTGTAAGATTCTAATTTATATATAAAAAATACTGTATTGTAATAAGAAGTTCTAGGGATTTTTTAATAATTACATAATATTTTGGATATTTCTTTGTTGATTTTGATATTTATTTTGGATTATGATCTGCTGGAGCTCAAAATTTTCCTAAAACCATCAAAAAAATACCCATCCTCTGCGTCTTCTTCCCCACTGATTTGAAATCCTAACTTTACATTTTAAAGTCTCTTTCATATAGAATTTGTTTACTGAGCTTTCTATCATCTGTCATAATTCTGTATGCCCTTGTTCACATATTATACCATTAATTATTATTACCATTATCATTGAAATTACATAGCATATTTAAATTCTAATAAAAAAAGCCCATTTCGTTGTCTTTTTAAAATTTGACAATTTATTTTATTTATTTTTGCAGATGAAACAGAATAATCAAGATTGAAGGAAAAATCAATTTTTGTTTTTACCCAAAAGGTGTCTCTATAATTTAATTTATGGAGAACACCCAACTTTGCAGTATTTAATCTTTCAGGGACATATTTTTTATTCAATTTTTAATGTCACTATATTTTTTGAGCGTTTTCAAATAAATCTTAAAAGTTTCTAATTAAATCTATTTTTAGGTTTCCACATTTGGTTTTCACCATTAATACACTCTTTCTAGCACCCCCTGCCATGGCTAGCTAATGTTTCCGGAATAAAACAATATTTGTTTGATAACTCATTAATTCTTATTATTTCTAGTAGTTTTTTCTCTTAGATGTCTACTATCATTTGAATGTTCCTCCAAAACTCACGTTGAAATGTAACTGTCATTGTAACAGTTTTAAGAGGTGGGTCTTATAAGAAGTGACTAGACCATGTAAGATCCACCCTCATGAATGTGGGATTAGACCATGTAAGATCCACCCTCATGAATGTGGGATTAGACCATGTAAGATCCACCCTCATGAATGTGGGATTAGACCATGTAAGATCCACCCTCATGAATGTGGGATTAGACCATGTAAGATCCACCCTCCCTCTTTACTGTGGGAGTGAATTAATTATCACTATAGTGGGTTCCTTATAAGATGGATGAGTTTGGCACAATTTCGTCTCCATGTCTCATGGCTTGCCTGCCATCTGCCCTGTCATAACACAGCACAAAGGCCCACATCAGATGCCAGAACTATGCTCTTGAATATCCCAGCCTCTAGAACTGTACAAAATAAATCTTTATTCTTTAAAAATTACTCAGTTCCAGGTATTCTGTTACAGTAGCAGAAAATGAAATAGGAAAACTACCAACATAGGCCATCATATTATCTGAAAACAGTCATTTATTTATTCAATAAATAGCTGCAGAGTACTTGTTATCTCTGTTATATAGCTTACACTGTATTATACTTTTGTCCTCTTTCTAAAATTATTTCCTTCTCTTATCTTATTCTCTGATTTAAACTTCCTGGAAATATTAATAATTTTGATTATGCCATAAACCTTGTCTTTTTTAAGCCTGTAATGGAAATACCTCTAGTATGACATCATTAAATATTATATTGGTTTTTATTTGTAAATAAATGATTTTATTGCATTTAAGTTTCTAATTCTAATAATTTTTAAAATAATAAATGGAAGAGTTTTGTCTAATGCTTTTTTTTTCGTTTTTGGATGGTTTCTATTTCCCTCTTTAACATGACAAAATGATGCTTGAAATTAAGTTCCCAATGTTTAAATCATATTTGATGGCTGAAACAAATTCTTAGTCTTGGAATCTCTCTCCCCTTCTTTTCCTCTTTTCCTTCACGTGGAACTTTATTCTGCCACCAGGCTTCATCTGATCTTTGCTTAATGCAAATTCCTGTGAGCATCTGGCCTAACATATCATTGACAAACAGCCTCTAATATTTCTTCATAATATTTTATTCTCTTGCTCTCTTTCTCTTTTTTCCCCCAAAGAAAGGATGGAATTGAGTGAATTTGTTGTCATTCATGTCCTGGCACAATTCCCCAAATTTATTTTATATTTATTTTTCTTTGATTTATTTTTAAATATTGCTATGACATTAAAATTATCACAAGATAAGATAATTATCACTTGAGGCTAAAAATCATATATGTGTTTATCAATCTATTAATATTTATCTACTTTCTCATTTTATTACAATTTAGAGCATTCTTTGGCTCTGTTTCTCATTTTAACATCTTACTAAATTTCAAAATTTCACACTTTCATTACTTAGAATTTTCTTTAATGGAAATACATTTCTATTCCTAATGTAATAAAATATAATTCACCATATGGAATATGTTAAGCAATGATCTTTTAAAAAATTACTTCATGAGTTATGATGCATATCACGTAGATTTGTGATAGGAAATTATAGTGCACAAAATATGATACGTACTTTGTGTTACCTAAACATTCTGGTCAACTTCTTATAGAACTTAGTCTTTAAAGCTAATTGGCATATGTAGCAATAAGCATTCATAATTATGAACTGATTTCTTCAATGAGTGGTCAGATTGGGGCCCAAGTTTCCCAGTTTATTTTGTTTGTTCACTGCTGCTATAGCTCAAATTATTTCCTTCTTAGTAGATTCTGAATTCATTCTGATTAAAATCTCTGACATATTAAGGATTTTAGCAGCTGAAGTATGATAGCTCATGTTTAATCAACTGATCCTTTCAAAGGGTTGTAGATATCCTCAACCAACAAGTGAATGGCTAATTACAATCCGAACTTTTATTGAGTTTCTATTGTTTTGTTATCTCTTCCCGTTTCCTAAGTGAGATACATATATAGATGCCACCCTATGCTTGTGTTTACCTTTACTTATTTTTGTGGTTTTGCTTTTTTCTTACCATCTCTCCAGTCAGACTTTCTTTAAAAAAAATTTATCCATTTTTATTTCTCTCTTAGCATCATTTTCATAGATCTAATTACTTTGCATGCACTATATATTGAATTTATTTAATTTGAAAAAATATTTAGTTAATATCCTTAAATGAATATATAATTAAGATATAAATTGAAGAAGCATACAGTTTTAATATTTGATAGTTGTTTTGTTTAGGAAAAGATTATTAATATTACACAATTGAGACTCTTTTAAAAAATAATTTAGTACCCCTACATAAGATGCAGTTCTCTGCATTTTCTGTATAGTTATTTTCTAATTTTCACAAAGAAAATTTTGTTTTTGTAGGGATCTTGTATTCTGTGATGAATCTAGTATTTTCTTCATTGTATAACTAAACTCTGAGTCTCTTTCCATTTATTTCATTATTTTATTACATGAACACTTTTATTTCAATATTTTTCTTCTGGCTTTCACCATATTTTTAATTATTCTAACCCTAAATAGTAATAAAGTTGATAAAATTTCACATATATAGAGACAGAAATGGTATATGCGTTTATAGACAAACATACATATAAAGGGAAAGAGAGAAACTTAGAAAACTATAGTTAGAAGTATACCAAAGCAAAATTTAACAAAAATAAAAATAATAACCCTTCAAGGAAGATCAGGGGCCGGGTGCAGTGGCTCACACCTGTAATCCTAGCTCTTTGGGAAGCCAAGGGAGGAGGATTGCCTGAGGCCAGGAATTCAAGACCAACCTGGCCAATATAGTGAGACCCCATCTCTAAAAAAAAAAAAAGGTAATTATTTCCTTTAAAAAAATAAAAAGAAGCTGAATATTTTATCTTACATAAAGTTGGAAATACTTTAAAATTGCTAAATATTGGAGGTACAATATAATTAGTAAGTGAAAAACTGAAAAAATCCTGCTGTTGTAGAATCAGAATGTGAATATTATAGAGACACATTGCAGAGGTTTAGTTGGAGATGATTTTTTTCTTTGCCTCAAGAAAAATTGTGAAGTTAAGTCTTTTTTAACTAATGAGTATTTCAAATATCTTTTCTTTATTTATTATCTATTGTGCTGTAACACATTTTCACAAACTTAGTGGCTTAAAACAATGCATATTTATTATCTCACAGATTATGTGGGTAGAGTCTGGGCATGGCTGGGCTGTGCCTTCCTCCAGTCTCTCACAAGACTGCAATGAAGGTGTCAGCTAAAACTGGGGTTTTATCTGAAGACTCAGTTGGAAAGGGCTCACTTTCAAGCTTACTTCCATGGCTGTTGGGAGGATTCAGTTTCTTTTGGGTTGCTGGACTGAGGGTCTTTGGCTGGGGGCCCACCCTCAGTTTCTTGCCATGTGGATCTCTCTACCTTGGTAACAGCAAAATAGAGTATCTACTAACAAAATGGGTTAAAATCTCTTTTAACCAATTCACAGAAGTAGGATCCTATTATGTCTGTTGTATTATTTTGCCTAGAAATAAGTTTCTAGGCCTACCCACACTCAAAGGATGGAGATTACAAAAGGGTGTGAGTATCAGGAGGAGGGGATCTTTGAGGGCCATCTTGGCATTGGCTACTACAATTCCTTTTCTCTTTCCCCCTCTCCAAATAGGCTCTTTCAACAATGTGGATATATGGATTTTTTTTTGAGATGGTTGTTAAACCAAGATAACATGTAAAATGCATGGTGAAGGTAGCCAAAATATTTTGAAAATTCAAAATCATTACTAACTTGTTTGAAAATAAACCATTTTAAGAATGCTACATGACTTCAGCTATAGAGTGATGTTTCCTACTTTTAAAAATATACATGTGCATTTTATTGATTCTATTTAATAGATATATTTCTATTACACAGAGCAAATGATTTAATCTATACATTAATGTCCATTTAACCTGAAAATATTTTGTAGCTAATGTTTTAGATTCTTTTTGGTTTGTTTTAAATTGTGTTTGGGATTTCTTTTAGCCCCTAAACACTAAATTGTTTGAATGAATATAGAAATAAAATAGACCCCATTCATCAAAATGAACACTAATGCAAATAGCATATATTAAAATGTAAAACAATGGATTAAAATTCATATGGCTTTTCTGGTTCTTGGTGGAAATAGAGCATAAAGAAATCAACTGGTCATCCTCTTCTAGTTTCATTAATTCTTATTTTTAAGAACTATTTGTTTGTTTAAGACTGTGAATATTGATAACACTGGAAACCAATAACTTTTAATCTATCAGGTTCAGAATGCCCTTCACACTTTTTTTTTTACTATTTTATAAGAAAATGTTATTTATTATGAAAGATAATTTAATTTAAATTTTACTGCTATCCATTTACTAGTTCTATATGCAGCATAAAAGTCATTTAATACAGTTCTGAAAAAAAGAAACCCTTTGACTGGTTTTACTTAATTCATGTCATTCTAGGTAATATAGAGCAGGGCTTTAAAACCCTTGTAAACACTGTAAATGCAGGAAACTAGATAATTTTTCTTGGGAACAAATTTTGAAGGTAGATGAAACTTAAATAATCTAATTATAAATAAGCAATGATCATACTTTTCTTACCTTTGCATTTTAAATCTAGAAATACATCATACCAAGCCATTTGGCATAAAGCTAAAATACCACTTTTAATGGGTTAAATGTTTTGAAATCTTCTCTTAAAGTTTTTAAGTGATGGAACAGGCTCCGGTTCTCTAAATATGTGTAATAATACTCTACTTAATTAAATTTAAAAAACAAAATTTTATTAATTTTCACCTCCAGCAACAGATGTATATGTTTTGAGGTAAAGAAAAAAAAACATTTTATAAATGGTCTGATGAAAATTTTAGTTGGCTGACACATTTAATTTTCACAGCTGTTTATTTTTTTTTGTCCAGTTTAGTTTATTTTTCTTATCAGAACTGGATAAAGACCTATTAGACCAAATTTATTCCCAATGGCATAAAAAGAAAGAAAAAAAGCTAAACCCTTTATTACAAGACAAAACAGTTTCATTGGCTAAAAGTAGAGATACAAAATATAGATAACAGATGGCATTTAAGGTTGTTGCTATTCAACTTTAATCAGATTTGTGATATCTTTGATGCTGGTTGTAAGTAAGCATGATTTTTTCTGGTACATATTAACTATATGATGGAGTGTTAGTTGTCTGTGGAAGTACACCTATTAATATAAAATATGCTCTACAACAAATTAAATACTTGTTCTCTCCTTTTATTATCTTCTCCATGCCTTTCCTATGCCAGTTTTGCTTCTTGAAATGATAAACTTTCTCTCCTGTGGAACTGCCAGTAAGTAGCCAACATTTGGTCAGGTAAAGAGTATAGGCTCTGGTGTCGGACAGCTGTTTCACTGGCTTTCAATGGCATCTTTGGCAGGATATTTGATCTCTGGGGACCTGTTTCCTTATCTGTAAAACTGGGACATCAGAATTATCAAATTCATAAGATTATTGTAAGGCTTAAATGACTAAATATCTGTAGAACATATGGAACAATGGCTGGAATAATTATGAACATCATATAAACATTTGCTATTAATTTTACCTGATTCTTGAATGTTTGCATATTCTTGAGATTCACTATATGTTTATTCTACAATCTTTGCTTTACAACCTGTTTCCTAACATCTAGAGTGTATCTATGTAACTTCTGTTACTATTGAAATTCATAACTTCTAATATGTATAGTCATTTTTTTTGTTTTGTTTTTTCTACCTGTGAACTAGCCCCTAGTGTCTATCCAACTCACATTAGGACCTGATATGTTACAGGCCATGAGGTATTTCTGTGGCTTACCTAACTAATGATCAACAGTCCTCATTCAACATCAGGGCATCTTTTACCCTACTAAGTTCTAAAAGAATGTTCTATGGAAAGAAGAGGATGGTTTTCGATTCAATGAGAATTCATTGGGGATATTGTGTATCTAAGATAACCACGAAATTCACTTGCATATGTCCTTGAAACTTTTGAGAAGAATGTGCACCTACTCTCACTCAGCTTACTGCAGTCTATAGTGATGAGACTGGGTTGAAAATTATGCCTATACCATCCTATATCTCAGTTCCACAGAGGATTGGCATTTAAAAAAAAAAGAATATTGCAAGGATTGTTTTAGTTCCTACTGGATATCTGCATTCAAAGGTTCTTGCCACTGGGTCTTCAGTAAGCAGTAATTCTAGTGCCTTTTTAAAATTTTCATCTTTGGAATATTACTTTTCTTTATCTCAGGATATTTTCTCACAATTATCTACATCATATCATGCTAATTAAAGCCTGACACCATTAATATCAAAATATTTGTCTTTTTAATATGTTCTTAAGCAACCAAATCTTACACAAAATATATTAGAGTGCTCTATTTTCTGAGCCTCTAATAATTTTGTTTTTGTTCTGTTTTTCTCCAATCATAGTCCTTTTCCCTTATTCACTGTTGTATCCCTAGCATCCTGCACTGGTGATCAGTAAAATACATTGACTTTTAATGAATATATTTGCTGATTATGTGAGAAATCTTTTAAAATACAAAGCTGATGCTGTTATTCCACTGAGTAAAATATTAAAACAACTTAATCACTCAGTATTACCTACAAATTCATTATCACGGAATAAAAGACTCTTCAGGAGTTGGCCCTGCTTATTGCTTCAAGCTCCCCCGTGATTTCCTTCTCTAAGTGTTGACAACCACCTTACTTCCCCACCTGAATGAATACATTTGGTTTTCAAGACTCAGTCTAAATACTTATCTTTTTAATTCCTCCAAGAGCTAATTATTTTCTCCCCTGTGCCAGAAGTATATTCTGTAGCTAAGCCTACCATAGTCAAGATTCTCTGTACTGCAATTATACTGTTATATTTCTATATCTCCTTGGAGGTGATTGTTTAGGGAAGAGATGATATTTTCTTAAATTTTGTGTAATAAGAACATAATCAGCACACAATAAATGTTATAAGAATGATTTAAGAATTAATGAATAAATTGATACCTTGCTAAGGTTCAACATCCCTAACATAATATTTTGAGTCTGAAATTCCCAGTGATTGCATATAAAGGAAAAGGTAAATTTTGAGGGTTTTAAGGGGAATAAAAATTCAATAAAAATGCATTATTAATCTCCCTATGAACTGAACATATGAATTAGTACGCTATACCTTTCCCTTTCAGATACTGAGCAAAGGGATGCAATGAAAGATGATTCCTATTAAGTATGTAACCAAACAAGTTAGGCAAAATGCTACTTTTAATAAAAATTATTATTTTCCCATAGACAAGATACACATTTTTGAAAGCTGCAAAGAACAGAAAGGTAATTCTACATTGCTTTAAATGATAAAGAAATTATAGTGCAAACTTTAGTGTTAGCTTCTCAACTAGTATCATTTTAGCATTTGTATCTATGTTGGATCTGTAACAGTTGAATAATAAGTTATATTTAAACTTAAATTTCAAAAACCCAGAAGAGTTACTTTTGTATGTAACTTGTGAATTTAGTCAGTTGCTTTTTGTTCTTAATGTTTTCAAATGTGAAATGTGACTTTTCAGTAAATGGAAATATTGCATTTACTTTTTAAATATTTAATAAAATCAATTGTTTTCTTGAAATAAAAACCGAAATCGCTTTTCAAAATAGGTCATAGACCTAAATGCAAAATCCCAAACTATAAAAATCCTAGAAGATAACGTAGGAGAAAACCTAGAAGAACTTGGGTATGGCACCAACTTATTTAGACAGAACACCAAAGGCATGTTCCATGAAAGAAATAATTAATACCCGGAACTTCACTAAAATTAAAATCTTTTACTCTGTGAAAGATAATGTCAAAAAATGAGAAGTCAAGACTGGGATTAAATATTTGCAAAAAAACACGTATGCTAAACGACTCCTATCCAAAATACAAAAATAACTCTTAAAACTCAAATACTGAGGCGGGTGGATCACTAGATCAAGAGACCGAGGCCATCTTGGCCAATATGGTTAAAGCCTGTCTCTACTAAAAATACAAAAATTAGCTGGGCGTGGGGTGGCCCGTGCCAGTAGTCCCAGCTACTGGGGAGGCTGAGGCAGGAGAATGGCGTGAACCCGGGAGGTGGAGCTTGCAGTGAGCCGAGATCGCGCCACTGCACTCCAGCCTGGCAACAGAGTGAGACTCCTTCTCAAAAAAAAAAAAAAAAAAAAAAAAAAAAGTTTTAGAACAGAAACAAAAGGAAGTAAAGTGCACTTGGAAGAGGGCCAAGCTGGCAACTTGAGAAATTCAAGCACACAGTTTGACCTTTGACTTGGGGTTTTATACATTGCCATTCTTCGTGCGCAGTGGCCTGCTAGTACTTGAGAGGGGTCTCATGCACAGTGTCAACAATGTGTTTACTGGAGTTGTGCGCATGCTCACTTGAGGCATTTTTCCCTTACCAGTTGAGTGCTCCTAGAAGAAGGTCCTATACCAGTTAAACTCCACGATTTTGTCTCTTAGTGCACATTCTTGAGCCCACTCACCCAACTCCGGAGATTTTATTGGGAAGCTGCTGCTCACCATTTTCAGGTGTTTGTATCTATTAGGAGCCTCCCTGGTGCCAGCTGTGACCAATTATTATTTTAGTGAGACAGCGTAGCAACCACCTGACCATCACCTGATGGTCTCCTGACACTTCTGGTTGGCCAGGGTTGTGGGGTTGCGGGGGTGTGCTCTAATGACATTTTCCACAGAAATAGAAAAAAAAGAAGCTAAAATTAGTATAGAAGCATAAAAGGTGACAAATAGTCAAAGCAAGAGTACCAAGAACATAAACTGGGCTAAGCACAGTCTCTTCAGTAAATGGTGCTAAAAGTAGATATCCATATGCAGAAGAATTAAACTAGATCCCTGCCTTCTCACCCTATACAAAAATTAACTCAAAATAAATAAAAGGCCTAAATATAAGACCCCAAACTGTAAAACTAGTAGAAGAAAACACACGTGAAATGCTTTAGGACATTAGTCTGAAAAAAGATTTGATGATAAGACCTCAAAGCACAGGCAACAAAAGCAAAAATAAACAAATGGGACTATATCTAACTAAAAAACGTCTACACAACAAAGGAAACGGTCAATAGAATGAAATAACAATGATCTGACGAGGATTAATACCCAGAATATACAAAGAACTCAAAAAGCTCAAAAGCAAAAAATAAAAACAAAAAAACACAATACAATTTAAAAAGTATGAGTTATCTGAATATACATTTCTTAAGATATACAAATGGCCAACAAATATATGAAAAAAAAGCTCAACAACACCAGTCATCAGGGAAATGCAAATCAAAACCACAATGAGGTATCATCTCACCCCTACTAGAATAGCATTTATCCAAAAGACAAAAAATAACAAACGCTGGTGAGGATGTGGAGAGAAGGAAACTCTCATACACTGTTGATGGGAATGTAAACTACTACAGCCACTACGGAGAATAGCATGAAAATTCCTCAGAAAAACTATAAACAGTGTTACCATTTGATCTAGCAATGCCACTACTGGGTATTTATTCAAAGGAAAGTAATCAGTACATCCAAAAGACATCTACAGCTCTATGTTTATTATGGTATTATTCACAACAACCCATTTATGTTCATTATTAGACAACCAAGGTGTCCAACAATGGATGAATGAATAAGGAAAATGTTGTGTATTACACCATAGAATACTAGTCAGCTACAAAAAAAAAAGGTGAAATAATCATTCTCTGTTACACGAATGGAACTGAAGACATTATGAAGAAATAAGCCTGGAACAGAAAGTTAAACACCACCTGTTCTCATTCACATTCATATGTGGAAGCAAAAACACATACAAACAACAACAACAAAACACTTTATCTCATAGAAGTAAAAAGTAGAACAGAGGATACTAGAGATTGGGAAGGGCCGGGGAGAGGGGAGCATTGGGAGAGATTTGTTAAAGGATACACAAGATATTTGTTACAGCTAGATAGGAGGAATAGGTTAGTGTCCTGTAGCTCTGTAGGATGACTATAGTTAACAATAATACATAGTTTCAAATAGCTAGAAGGAGGATATTGAATGCTCCCAACATAAAGAAATGGTAAATATTTGATGGATATGCTAATTATTCTGATCTGATCACTAGACATTACATTTATTTCAACATCGCCATTGACCCCATAAATATGTACATTATGAGTCAATGAAACATTTTTGAAAATTAAAAAAGCAAAAACCCCCCAAAATTGTTTAAAAAAAAAAGGGAAGTGATTTCCATGGATTAGTGGGGAGAGAGAGATAAATAGGCAGAGCACAAAGGATTTTAGGGGAATAGAACTATTCTATATGTTACTAAAGTGGTAACTATGTGTCATTATATATTTTTCAAAAGCCACAGAATGTACAATACTAAAAGTGAACTGTAATGTAAATAATGATCTTTGGACATAATGATTTGTCAGTATAGGCTCATCAATTGTAACATATGTACCATTGTGTTTTGGGATGTTGACAATACAGAAGGTTGTACATGTGTGAGGACAGGGGACATAAAGGAACTCTCTAAACTCTGTAATTAATTTTACTGTGAACCTAAAAATGCTCTAAAGTTTATTGATTAATAAAAGCATCCTGCGGAATAAAAATATATACTAGGATAAAATGAGATTTTCTCTGTTTAATCAGAATGATTTAAACTTGAAAATGCAAACAGACAAAAAAAACCCCTGAATTTCTGTCTTAATATTATTATGTCCAATTTATAGTTTGGACATCTTTACAACCATGAAATTTCTCACAGTATTCTTTATTTCCACTCTAAAATTACGGAGAGGTAATGAGTATAATACTCAATGTATTCATTCATAGTAGGCAATCAAGCAATTGGTTTTCATTTACTTGGTTTGGAAAAGCTATAAAAACCTTTCTTTGTAATCATGGACTAATAATTACAAAAATTGTTTTGTCTCTGTTTCTATACAATACGCTTACAATTAATATGAATCTTCTGGGCTCAGTTATCCTGCTGTTGAATTCTACAATTTTTGCCTATTTTCTCTTTCCCAGAGAGTTTATTTTTACTGTATAATACGTTGAGGAAGTATTTTAGTTCATTCTTATAATTTATTTGGTCTTTTCTGCTTTTATGAGTACAATTCAGTTAATAGTATTTGTTTAAAATGCCTGCTTTAATCTTTTTCAGATATGTCTAGACCAAGTTGATGTCTTTCATAGAGCATATCAACTTTTAATAAACTAATTTAGATACTCTGACTTGCTGCCATGATTATATAATAATATTTCCATTATGCATTATACTTTTGTCTATGCTTATGTCTCTACCTGGAAAAGTAAGCTTTGAAAAGCTCATACTGTGTATTGTTTATTCCCTAAATCTTTGTATCCAAGCATAGTGCATAACAAATAATGGGTTCCCAGAAATTTGTTTAGATAATAGTCAGTATATTATTCCATTTTAGAACAGTTAAATTTGTTTAGATAATAGTCAGTATATTATTCCATTTTAGAACAATTTATTTAATGTAAATTAGTGTGAGTAAATGATGGTTTAATATGAATTAAAGTGATGATTATTTTTCAGTTAACTGTAAAATTGAAATATAAAACACAAAAGAACTCAGTGAAAATAAAACCTAAAAATGTAGTTTAGATTTTCAAGAGTTTTAGAAACTATTTCTTTCAAATGCAAAAACTGGACTGTTGATTTTTGCATTGTTGTTGTTGTCATCTTAACTTCAAAAGCATTACTTTGATCAATATTGGCTTTTGAAACAGAGTGCAGAGGTTAACCATAAGTTATAAAGTGGGAAAGGAATGATGACATAGATCTATTTTCTTACTACACAAAAGAGATTAGAAAAATTTTTTATTGGCTATAAAATGATGGGAAATAAGGCTTATAGACAGTGAGCTATATTATACAATCCCCAAATAAGGTAATTTAAGGGGACATAGGAACTGCATCTGTCTTTTCCTCTGGTATTTTTGGAAGAGTCAGCCTGAAAGAACACACTGCAACAACATGGTTGGCCATATTAGAGTAAAAGTGCCAAGTAAATAGATGTTGGCAGAGAGAAGGTCGAGAAAGTACCTAAGTTCTACATAGGTTCTGACAGATCACAGAAGACATTTAGTTTGGTTCTGCATGTTAAAGTGGAGAACTGAGTGTTACCATCACGTGTCCACCACGTTTTAAGGTGAAGTGACTATACAGCAAGGCTGACACATTAATTAAAGGGTAGGATGTAAGTGTGAACCTGAAGACCATCAGAAGAAGGATCCAGTATGACAATTTATTCAACAAAGGAAACTGATGAATTCCTAGGAACCATGCTTTTTTTCTGGCTTCTGCACTGTGATTACTTATGTAATAAAGCAGGCCACTGCAGTGAAATTGTCACAAATAAGATGCTTCTTGTCTGATGCCAAGATCTTATCAGTGCATAAATGTTGGATGAGAGTAGGGATGAGGCAAATGCAAATATTCACTTATAACCTGGGAAGCCAGACATCCCTGTAGAAGAATTTACAAAATCAAACGTAATAGTCTTTGATGAAAACATCCTCATGAAGAGTTCTTCTTATTTCCTTATGTTGTGTTTCATTTCAGTGTGCCTAATACACTTTCCTTCTAGCAGACATCACTTGGATCATCTCCATTCTTCACATAAACAAAACCTAAAAACATGAAATATCAAGAATGTCTTAATTTCTTTTCAACCAGGAGACTCCTTTAATCCTATGAAAATTTGCCTATTGCTTCTCCAAACACCAGCTCCTTATAACAAAATATATAAATTAAGGCAACTTTTAATGAGTTAAGAATAAGTTCTCTCCCAGTCACCTAAATGAGTTTGTACGTGCCACATACTTGCATAGCCAAGAGGGCTTACTCAAATGTTATGAAAGAGTGGGAGAAGATTTATCCCACAGTAAATATAACTAATTATAAGTTAATTATATTTGATCTCTAGGATCATTGTATTTAATCCTACAATAATAAAGATATTTTGCATTAGCTGCTATCATGAACAATTTCCAAATGCCAGAGGGATTAATCAAATGAAAGATTATTTCTTATTTATTTATTTTTTCTTACTTTCCCATCTGATGCTAGTGAAGAATCTCTTCTAAGAATCTCCAAGAAGTTTTTTTTTTTTTTTTTTTTTCCTCTTTTTTGACATGGAGTCTCGCTCTGTCGTCCAGGCTGGAGTGCAGTGGCGCGATCTCGGCTCACTGGAACCTCCATCTCCTGGGTTCAAGCGATTTTCCTGCCTCAGCCTCCTGAGTAGCTGCAACTATAGGCATGCACCACCATGGCCGGCTAATTTTTGTATTTTTAGTAGAGACGGGGTTTCACCATGTTGGTCAGGCTGGTCTCGAACTCCTGACCTCGTGATCTGCCTGTCTTGGCCTCCCAAAGTGCTGGGTTTACAGACATTAGCCACCATTTTTAAGAACTTCCAGGCTCCAGAATCCTTCTACTGTGTGGCTTTCTTATCTCAAAATCTTTGCTGCTAACCACTAGTATGGAGGCTAGGTCTTCAACCAAGAATCTTGCAAGAAATTCTAAGGGCCAAGAGAAAAGTTGGGTGTATCATCACTTTCTACATTCTGTCTGCATCCAGAACTAGTTATAGTGTACCAATTTAATTACATAGAATTGTGGAAAATGTAATCTTCCTGTATACACTGCAAGAGAAAACAAAATTGATGAGAATCTATGCAATCATTTTACCAAAACTCCACACATTCTAACTTTGCCACATGCTGGGTCAGGATAGATTGCTTCTCCTTGGAGGATTAGTCATGTAATTAACAAAAATGTTTGTGGGAGTTCATTGAAAGATACTGAAAAAGAGGGGAAAGTGAGCATTGTTCTGAATACTAGAAGTCTTGTTTTAGCATGAAAAGCAAACAGAAAGTATTAGACTACTATTTTTGAATCTAAATAGAATGCTATGTGCTATCGCGTCTATCAAACAAGAGCAGAAGATCTCAAGAGAGCCTACTCTATGATTTGCCAAGGATAAAAAAAAAATACTATTTTTTTCTAAAAAATAAATACCCTTGCTTTTCTTTTCTCTTTATCCTTTATTGCATTTGTACAATTGATTACTTTCTTTCCGTTTGGAGTTTTCTAGATTTAGAGACACTTCTTTCAGGCCATACAAGTGCCAAATGCTGTCTTTTTAGTCAACTTGCTAAATTACAGGTAACTCAGCCAAAAAGTAGTTTAAGTGGCATTCAGGTGAGTTTGCATTACTCTAGAGAGTCATGTAACTGGATAAAAATCAGCCTTCAAATGCAATAGAGCGTTATTTATTCTGGTATATAAGCATGTAAACATGACAAAGTGAAGCTGTTAAAACAATGAACTATGATTCCCCTAAAGATTTAGAGCACCATTTAGTATTTTACAGCACCAGGCTTACTCTTAACAGTATCTGATTTTGTCATATATATATTTTAACTTCTCATTCTCTCTAGTGGTTCCTGGCTTTAAGGAATCTCAGCATTGCTTTATTTGCTAATACTGACACCTGTGATTAATGAAGGCTTAATATCTGAGATAATTTGTTGTCACTTGGAGTCCCTATTAAATTATAGAGTCTATGTATTATTTTAACATAACAGGGATATGACTAAGGTAATATTTATGAATTGTGAAGCAAGATATCCATTCTGTAGCGTGGAGTCTGCCAGGAGTTGGTACACCATAGAAAGAATTCAGGAAAGTACAGATGTTATCATATTCCTACTGCAGACCTCTTGCAGGGAGAATGTGGGAGAGCAAGTGATGAAAGAGCAAAAGTGAGAGTGAAAGTGAGAGGGAAAGACAGACAGAGAGAGACAAAGAGAGAGATTGAATGTAAAATAGGAAAACATTTAAAAAAGGAAGATAAATACTTTTGCATATTATGGGGGATTGAAACAAGTGCCTTGATCTTAAATTTTAATGTTTAACATCCATTTAACTCTTTTATTATATCTGGACATATTCACCCCTAGAATTCAGACACGTTATTTCACTTCTTAGATTTCTTATTTAGTAATATGATGACTTCACAGAAACAGAATTACTAAGTTTTATTTCAAAAATGTATTGGGGACTTATATTTAATATGCTTATACCTTACAAATAATAATGTCATTCTGTGATATTAATTAGTCTTAATAATATTATAAGAAAGAAGTGCTAAATTTGACAATTATTCAGACAATTATTCACCAATTTTGACCAACTCAAGAAGCATAATTTAGGTGTTCATCATTTGGACATTAAGTTATTACATAATTTTTTTTCTCCACACCATGATTCTGTAGTTTATTACATAAATTCATTATTGAGGGAGAACAAAGTAATCTGCTTACAAACATAATTTTTATTTGACCATAAAGTCCATACATAATTATTTAGTGGAGAATACCAGTGTCTCACAATTCACTTTTAGTGTACTCTTCTTACTTTGTAAATATGCAGTCAAATAATAGATTATTTTTCAGTGTGCGTTCCTCAGAAATTGTAGCCTGAGACAAAGTGCTTAGTTACTGTTACTTATTAGGGAGTGTGATCCCAGTGAGTAGAAGTGAGGCTCAGAAGGTGAAGTAGGTTAGGAGGGACAGCCAACATGAGGCTGTATTAGCAAGCTGCCTGCTGATTGCATGATGCCTTAGGATGTCCCCAAAGAAACCAGAAATTTACTGCTTCTCAGTTTATATGGGATGGCCACCATGTGGTGAGTGAAGTGGAACAGTTTATCCATGGTTTCCTATCTCTCATTGATAAAAGTTTTGCTCCACTGGGTGTTAACTCCCAAATACTTCTGAGTCCCATGGAGCCATCCTTAGGGAATCCTCTGGGCAGGAGCTGCAGGCATGAGGCACAGTTGTTGAAGTTGCCCTTGTGTGGGGTTACTCAGAGCTCACCGAGATCTAACCACTATTGGGACAGCTAAAACAGAATACTGGTAAGGCCTGGGAGAGCTCAAGTTGCATATGTGGGAAGAATACTATATTCCAGATAGCACAGCACGGATACACTACTGCCCTCCACAGCTGGCTTCCATACTGTAATCTGGGGTCTCCATAGTTGTGAGAACAATGTACTCCTTTAGTTTCCAAGCAAAGAAGGGGATATTGGGGATACAAATTCAATCAATCATTCCCATGTATTTGTTAGGCCGTGTTGGCTGGAATTCCCATATAGTGGTTCAGCAGGCCAGGCAGGGTAGTGCTAAGAGTTGTGCCAGAGAATTCCCTGGGTTCCAGTCTTTCTCCTTATTCCTATTTTCTTGTCTTCAGAGCAACAAGGCTAGTTTTCATAGTAATAAGATTGCTAACATACTGTCAAAACGGACTAAAGGCGAATTGATTATATTCGGAGGTTAATGATCAGAGGAATCCTTATTGACTCCCGGTGGAAGTATTTATTCCCTAGTAAGCAGACCTCTAGCATAGAAGAGCCTGAGATTTCCAGAGTAGGAGACACACAAATTTCACAAGGTGGATACTGACAGTTAAGGTAGGAGGGACCAATCCTGTTTCTACCCATTGTTTCTGAGACAATATGCTATTGGGATTATATTAATTAATGATTCATCGAATATACATCCAGAAGCATAGCATTTCAATTCTGTTGCATATTTCCTTGAGAAGGACTCTTAACTGAGGCTTTACCAGGCCAGTTATCTAACTATTAGGCTGACTGTCTCAATGAGGAACATGAAATCACCAGTACATTTTGCTTTCATGTGCCTATGATCATAGCTGCTTTGTCAGAAAATGGTTCCCTTGGTCTAATGCAGTGCCATGTGGTATTGCATATTAAAAGATAAAATATTTTGTAAGTCCTTGGATGGTGGTGCAAGTAGGAATCACAGGAAGGAAAGATAAATCATTATCCTGAAGAGGTTTTAAGCTGTTAAAGAGCTGTCCCAACCTGGGTAGAAGAAGTCATATAACCAACTTGAAGCCTGATTCCTGCAAGGAATTGTGCTCTGTTGAAGGCTCATTTTTAGTATCTGTTGTTGGAAATTCAGAACACCAAGCAGTGCAGTAGATACATTATCTTTGTTGAGGGGAGCCATCTGTTGGGTTCACGCTATTCCTGCCAACAAAGATACTTTGTTCATGGCCCATTGTTCAAACATTGCAGGATGGGTGGGGTGAAGACATGTTGGCTGACATTTATGTGACGGGTCATGTTCATTCTTCGTTAAAAGTCTCCTCTGTAAGTTGATGCTCTCTGGTGATCATTATGAAAAACAAAGATCTACATATTTTGTGACAATAGCCATATCAATTACCTCTTTAATAGACCTTACTCCCAATCTTCCAATCTTGCTTCCTTCAGGCCTTTAAACTGGAAGAATTTATTTTTTCTTTCTCAGGAATCCAAGCTCATGTTTACCTCAGCATTCTTTTTTCTTTGTAGCTTTTTGTGATGACTAATATAACATATTCATATGCTAAAATCTTCTGAAAAGATATACCTCAAAGGAAGGTGATTAGTGCTATAGCGCTGTGATAGTTGAGAATCTAGTTTATTATTACTATTAATTTTAAAATTTGGTTTGGTTCTGTATAGGGGAGAAAAAGTAAGATCTTTTCCTTACCCATTGCAAGGGTCATTGCTGAGACCCCTATAACCAAAAGACACATTAACAAGAGAAAAACATAACAAATTCATTCAATGTCATGTTTACATGACACAGGTTATTCAAAATGAAGACTCAAAGAAACAGGAAAAGCTGTATATTTTTATGCTTGGATTTGAGGAAGGGGAGCCAGGCATGCAGAACTGTGAATGAACAAAATGGATATGGTCTAATGGTAATAAAATGAAGAGGGGACACCGTGAGGACCGTTTGTTCAGATTCTTCTTGGCATCTTTATGTCTTCAGTTCAGAGATGAGGACGTGTTTTTCTCTGGGAACAGGAAAAGTCCCTCTGGAATGAGTAACTTATGGACTCCTTTAAAGGAAGGTCAGATAATTCTTTAATGGTTTGTTTCAGGGGAGAAATGCAGGAGACTGTTTGAAAGACCTTCCTGCTTCTACTGCTACCTCAAATGCCCAGGCACCATATTCTGAGATAGCATGTCCTGAACCCCATCGCTTTGTTTGTATTTTTAACTTATATTTTAACTTATATAGTTGATGATATTTAAGTTTTACAAAAATTATCTGAAATAGTTAAGTTTGTTTCTTTCTTTTTGAAGACAAAATCGCCTAAAGAATGTGTTGGAATTCAAAGTTGGTTTAAGTCACAGTTTCAAAAGATGAAGTCAGCATAATGATTACAATTAATCTTAGTAAATGCTAAAGCAGTGTATAAAGTACTTTTATTTGGGCTCATTTCATGCACCCAACGAACAACTCCAATAAATGCCATGTGTATTTTCATTTTATAGGTCAGTTATTGAGTATCGATAATTCTATACCTTTTGCCATAATGAGCAGTAGCTCAAGCCAATGCTGTCTAATTCCAAATCTTGAAAATAAATTAAGTTTATAAATTCAGTTAGCAAATATTAATGGAGAAACTTAAGTGACAGAGATACAGCAGTGACTCAAACAAATTCCGGTTCTAGTGCAGGTTCAAAAAAACAAATACATATATAATATGATATGAGTAAAATTAAATGTTAAGAAGAAAAGGCAGGGTAAAGGGATAGACATTAGCAGAGGAGGATTGAGGTGTTCAAGGAAGTTCCACCTGAGCAAATGTCATTTGAGCAAACGATTGGTCCATGTATTTTTTAACAAATAGAAAGTTAAAGGATTTACTTACCTTACATGTGCTCTGTAACTCTCATTATTATAAATACAATATTTAAATTTCTATAAGATTTTACCAAGATTTACTAAAGGTAGTAAACTTCAAAAGCAATCTATATAGTCATGTAGAATTGGAATTAAAATTAAATTTAATAACTTTAAATTCTATACTCATTCTGATATTGGTAGCTACCGATTTTATTAATCTTCTGTTAATCATTTATTATACGAAAAAGAAATATTGCAGAAAGTTGTTTTCCTGAGAATTAAAATCTATAGAGATGCCTCCACATTTATTTAATTTTGGTGTAGTACCACTCTGAGACATTCATGTCAGAGCTTTCGAATTCTCCCCTGGATCTGATGGAACTCACTCCGTAGTAATCGACCAAATTTAGAAGTAATCAACTCCATGTGGCAAACCAAAGCCCAGATGGAATGCCTCTTAATCTTTAGATTAATGTGTCTACTCAGCATTTAAGGTGTAACTCCAAAATAATGGAGTTGCAATACCCTTTTACTTTCTCACCAGGCTATATTAAGCTACGAGACCTAAAACAGATTTAATCCTAAAATATATCCATTTGTCTAACATATTTAATAGCAAGGCTAAATCCTTTGAACTGTATACCTTTTATCCTTATTGGGATAAATAATTGCTTCACAAAATACTAACAGTTTTTAGATATTGAATTTAAAAGGTGAAGAAAATCTTGTTACTTTCTTGTAATGGGGTCCAGGAAGCTGATGTAACTTTAATGCCTGAAGAAAAACACTGTAGGGAAAAAAAGTCTACTCTGGAAATAAAAGTTTTACATAGATTTTCCCAGGCTATTAGCCCTGGACAGTCTGTGATAATTAGCTTACCACAGATGACTATGGTGAGGAGTCACATGCTTTCTTATATAGCTGAACGAGTGCAGGCTAACCAAGCTGACGGGCATGCCCTCATTTTTAGCTCCAAGTAAAGGTGTCGTTTGATTTTCCAGTGCTGTATAATTATTGTTTCTTCCCAGGATATTAATCTTGACCTTAGGGAACTGGAGTTTTAAATGAAAGCCTACTTTTAAAAGTGATAGAACAGTATCTGTTCATTTTTTTCACACATTTTAAAAGACATCAGATTCTTGCTCATATTTTGTTACAATTAATTATAATTGGTGCAAAGGTAGTCATTTTCCAATATAAACTTTTATAGATAAAATCAAAAACACTAAAAAGTGTTGATACAGGGTCTTAATATTTTTAAATTACCACACATGTATCTCTCCAATACCTTTATTTAAATCACCCCTGCTGGGCGTGGTGGCTCATGCCTGTAATCCCAGTACTTTGGGAGGCTAAGGCGGCAGATCACGAAGTCAGGAGTTCAAGACCAGCCTGACCAACATGATGAAACCCCGTCTCTACTAAAAATACAAAAAATTAGCCAGGTATGGTGGTGCACACCTGTAATCCCAGCTACTCAGGAGGCTGAGGCAAGAGAATAGCTTGAACCCTGGAGGCGGAGGCTGTAGAGAGCTGAGATCGCACCACTGCACTCCAGCCTGGGCAACAGAGCGAGACTTTGTCTCAAAAAATTAAAAATAAATAAATCATCCCTTCATATATTGCTAAAACTAAGCCATTTGCCGTGTACATATCTTATGAGATATGGCGCTTTCTGGAATTAGCAAGTCTTTGTTATGGCCCACTCACATAGAAAGTCAGAAAGAGAAATAGCAGTTTTCATGGCTTCTGAGTAGGCCTTTCAGAGCATCAACTCCAATTTTGTAAGAGAAAATATATACCAAAGTCACACTAGCACATGCATAAAGGCCATGGTGTATCATGCGATGAAGATTGCATTCTTCCCTGAATGTAATGAAGGCTTTCTGGAAGTAGAGAGCTTTATCCTTTAAAAAAGCCACTTTGATAGCAGGGTAGAGAATAAATTACGGAAGGGGGAGTGTTTTAATCCAGAAGAGCAATTGAGAGGATGGTGTACAAATCTAGAAAATAATTAGAGAAGGGTTAATCTAAGGTAGTAAGAAGTGCAGAGCGAGACTTGAAAGATAGAAGATAAAACCAATATAATATGGTGACTGGGTTGGGAGACTGAGAAAGAAGAAAATGTTTAGTTTATTGGCTTGGATGACTGAGTGGATGAATGCACCACTTACTGACATGGGAATTATGTATTGAAGGAAAGAAGAGCAATGTGGGAAAGGGTACACATTTTTGTTTAAGCACATTAATTTAAAATGTCTATGGTATATCCAAGTGTAAATGTTTTGTGAACTGTTGAGTATCTTAGAGTACAATAAGCTGAGATAGAGATTAGGAGTCAGTGATTCTTTATACATGCTTATTAAATCACAATAATAGAAGTAATCATGCATCTATTTTTGATAGAGAAGCGTGACGAGGACTGAGGTCACACTCTGTGAAGTTTAACGTTTAAGTGATGTGTCAAAGACTAGGAACCCATGAAAAATGATTTATTTTATTTATTTATTTGAGACAGAGTCTCGTTCTGTCGCCAGGCTGGAGTGCAGTGGCCAGATCTCGGCTCACTGCAGTGAAAATGATTTTTTTAAGTGGTCAGAAAGGTAGGATGAAATGTAAAATGCTTTGACCTCATAAATCTAAGGAGAAGAATGTTTTTCACCATCTCATTTTTAATATAGTACTTGACATATTAAAAATGTCTTGAAAGAAATACAGTTCAACTGTCAGGTCTTACCTAATGTAAGTTTCCTATAAAGTATATGGGAACAGCAAATGGGAACATTTGTAAAGGCATACACATAATTCCCAGATAGATAGATCAGTGGCTGTCTAGCAAGAGGCTGAGGAAACAAAATGCAGGCATTAAACAAATTCTGCCTCTCTACTACTTAAAATCATGTAAGATAGTCCAGATGATGTATTTGAGTGAAAGATGCATAGCAATCTCTGTGAAGTTGTTAGGATGCCTTCTCAAGAGGTGGTAAGTAACTGGGGTTGGATGTTGTGAAAACACTCTCCATTCATAAATAACTATGGATTTTCATACGTTTTCAGCCTGTGTAAAGTCAACCCTAAATGTAGACCTCTGCTAGTCATAATTCAAAGGAACGAAAAATAGAGAGAAGCAAAACATACTGGTTAAATAAATTAGGCTTTTAATATCGTCGGCCAGAATTCAAGTATACACTTCCAGTGCTTCCTAGTTGTTTGATTTTATTCTCATAGAGCTTAATTTACTCATCTGTGAAATGTAGATGTTAGCACTTCCTATATCACAGCCTTGAGGATTGAAAGAGAAAATATTTGTAAAGTGTGTTAAACAGGGCATACCACATGAAAGCATTCTAAAAAAGAAGTAACTTATACCAATAATTAGAGACCCAAAAGAGAAAAATATAACAATCCCAGATGGGAAAAATATTAACTTAATGCTGGTCTGTGAAATTTTATGGAAACAGGTTATTTAGTAAACCCGTATGTTTCTAAAAACCTAATAAACTAGGGAGAAATAGATTGCTTTGATGAGTTAGATGTCTTGATAAAACTAGTCAGAAGCCATTTGTGAGAACAGACAAGGGAACACTGCCTTTGATGTAAGTTCTGGCTGTTAAGAAGAAAAATGCTCACAGCTGAAGCCACAAAAAAGCTAGTAACCCAGATAGAAAATTCCCCTTTTCTGTAGGAACTTAGTAGTGGCAAAACCCAGAAAGAAAACTTATTTCTAGCTCTCCAAGAAAGGGCAGTAATAACATGGGCCAGGACAACTAAACAAAACTAGCAAACAAAAAGGGAGGAAACAAACGAATAAAAACAGAATATTCAAAAAGAGTTGAATGACATACATGTAGCTCAACTCAATATATAATCCTAAGATTATGAGCTTGAAAATAAACTCTGCTAGATATTCATTGTTTGAAATTGGAGACTTCTTCCTACCACTGTAAAAGATGGGATGTACCTGACAGATTACAGGTACAGTGAAAATGTGAAGAGAATATATTACTGAATAAGGAAAATGGGGACATACTAGGAATCATCGTTTTCACATCAGAAAACTGCTTGTTAAATACACTACTGATAGGTTCAGAAATTTACCTAGGAAATTAAGTCTCCAGGTGAGACTTGTTTAGGGTAAATTCCAAAGTGTTCCAAAGGCCATCAAAGTTCTAATCATCAGACAATTTTTTCTAGAGTTGATTTTGACCAGAGATATCATTTTCTACATGTTAGCTACTGTGTGTTCAGGCGTATAGTCTTGCCAATTTTATACATGCTGCCAAGTAACATCTTTATGGTTACCTAATGGGTCCGCATAGAGCTACAGTGAGTTTAGAGGCTGAGAGACAATAGGTTACATTTTCCATGTCTTTTTGTCATTTTTGTTGCTTTTCTCTAATTTCTTTCAAAATAGTGATCTCTAAACAGTATTGATTTTTATAATAAGTATAATGTGTAATAAATGTACTGCATTTTTTGTAGCTCTAAATAGCATTATCGCAGTTCAGTGTAAAGTCAGTGTGTCATTTGTTGCTATAGTTTTCGACCTCCCATCTCTGGTTTATCTATTCATTACCACAGTTAACTTGTTAGTCACAGCTTTTATTAGCTTGATTCTGAGTTATTGTAATTGTTTCCAACTAATTTTTTTATTCTAATTCATTCTACAAAAATCTAGGTAATTTTTCTTAAGCAATTCTCATTGTGTTAATTCCTCCATTTTCCTCTCCCTAACTAGCATCAATGTTCCCTTTTTCCCAAACTTTCCTTTGAGAATTTCCTCCCTACTCCCACCCACCTCCACAGTATTCAGATACGGAGTTTGAATAAGTTTGGTTTCCTGCCAATGATATACAAATAGGCTCTGATCTGTGGAAGCCAACCATTATATCTCATACCTGTGTCACCAGTGAGGGGTTTAAGAATGAATACATAAGCTATTAGGGAAAAATGATGCCTCAGTTTGTAGTTAGGGCTTCTGGGAAAAATCTTCCTTCTTCCCTTGAAGGAGGTAAAAGAAATAATTTTTCTTCTTGTGCACATTGCAGTGAGAGTGTGTGAGATCCAAAACCATTGCAGCCATTTTTGTAATTAGGGAAACTAATTTTAGGATGAAACTGACACAACTGAGTAAGGAGATCTAGGAGATGGAGGTTTGTTTGGTAAAGCAAAATTCCAGCGATGTCATGATAAAGGCAGCTCTACCTCTGATGTTTGCAATCACATGAGCCAATACATCCCCTTGTTGGCTTAAAGCACTATTGAGTTACTGCTTTCTTTCTCAATCAAAAGCATTTTATCAGATAGAAGATATTTTTGGTCAGTGATATCATATCTAAATTTTGTCACTGCTACTTTGAATTCTATTCCTACTGAGATAGTTAACACCCCACTATTCCCAAATTGGAATGTGAACTGTTTCCTAGTAATTTCTGTTCTTCATGAATTTTTAACAAAAATGTTATACCTAGTGCTATGGTTTGAATGTGTCCCCTCCAAAATTCAAATGTTCCCAGTGTGATAGTATGTAGACGTGAGGATTTAGGAGGTTATAAGGCCATGAGGACTTCTCCCTCATGAATAAGATTAAGGCCCTTAAGAAAGCATTTGCATGCAGCGTTCAGTCTCTTGCCCTTCTGCCTACTGTCATGTGAAGATGCAGCCTCCCTCCCTTCCATAGGATGCAGCCCTCACCGGACAACTGAACCTGCTGGTGCCTTGGTCTTGTGCGTCCCGGCCTCCAGAACCACGAGAAATCAATTTCTGTTCTTTATAAATTACCCAGTCTCAGGTATCTGTATCCTGTTATAGCAGAACAAATGGACTAAGACACCTAGTTAGTATCCATGTTGTCTCATAAAAATTCTACACGAGTTGTTGACAAAAATTTATTTATTCTAACAATTTTGAAAATGTTAGTCAACTCAATTTTGATATTTATTTGACACATGTCATATTTCCTTTTGCTGACAATGAGATATTTATAATGTTTAATCAATTGAACAGTTATATTTTTCAGGCCATATTGTTTTCTGTTTTTGATGTGTTTCCTATGAAATTCATGTCACAACATAAATAAAATCCTACCTCTTTCTTTATGTATTGGGTGCCATAGAAAAAGTTAGACTTACGTAAAAAATATAGGCTTTGGCAAGAGTATTTATGACTACTATTCTGTATCATGTGCTTATTTTTGACTTTGAAAAAGAATGGCAAAAAAATGGCTGGTTTCAAATATTTCACCATGTTGAGTTCTGGGTTGTAGCTTCCAATGAAATGGGGATCTGAAAGTTGGAGAAGAGTGAAAATAGTGTAATGACTATAGGAGTAGATTTGTTTGATAATGAAAAAAACAGAGGCAAAACACACTCAAATATTAGGCTGGCGCAAAAGTAATTGTGATTTTTGCCACTGAAAGTATTACAAATTATTGCTGATCTTGATCTTATATCAAAATCCTGAGAGTTTGTTTATATGCAGTGATAGTAACTCAAAGCATTTGAACAAATGGATTAACCTCTCTTTTAAGGCACTCAAATTAATTCCAATGATACCTTTAAAAAAAGTTGTAAAGCTAACACATTTGTTTTAATGGAAGATAAACAAATGAGATCTGAAGAGCTTAAAATGGAAAAAATATTTTTTTCTAAACTCTCGTTTCTATTTTTCAGAGTCCTTGTATATTTCCAGAAAAATGTTTATACCTACCCAAAAGTTTATCAATTTCCTTTTTCTTTCCTTTCTTTCTTTTCTTTTTTCTTTCCTTCTCTCTATACATTCTGTGTGAAACTTGCTTTCTATTTAATGTCACCTAAAAATATTTGGGACATTATGCTGTATATATGCATAGCATTATTTTTTCATGGCTACATAGTATTCCATGAATTGTATATATCTTAATTTATGTATGTATTGTTTAAGCATATTTGAATTATTTTGCATTGTTTTCATACAAACATAATAGCAATGGGTGTATTCCTATTTGCAGATGTCCTATCTACTTATCTAGACTTTTTTGTGTAGATTACTGAACTGAAATTGATTGTCAATAAGTATGTTTATTTAAATATTTTTAGATATTAACAAATTTCTTCCAAAATGTTTCAAAAATTTATACTCCTAGCAAAGCTATATGAAAGTTATTTTTTCTTACCTGTAATCTGTATGCCTTTTGTGAAAAAAAGACTTCAGAAATTTGTGTGCACAGTGAAGATCCTTGATATATGCACCATGCATACATACGTGTATTTGTATATATTCTCTGTTTTGTGTGTGTTTGTGTGCATCTGTGTGTGTATGTGTTCTATTTGTAAGAGAGAATGATTGCATTATGTCAGAAATAAAACACTATAAATATTTGCTGAGTGGGTAATTGAATGAATGGTTGAATCACCTATGCTGTTCTGTGCTGTTCATAGAATTGAGTTGAATCTACTATTCTGCTGGAATTATAATTGGGACGCTCAGTGACAAGCTTCTGCTCAGCAATTGGCTTTATAGTAATGGTTGTTCTGCTCCTTCATGAAATGAATGAGATCCAGGTCAAGCCAATTATGAAGGGAGAAAACATTGAAGTTAATGCAAATCATTCAGAATAGGTTTAAATAACCCTAGATTTGTTTAACTAACATTTAGTTTAAAGAATATTTGAAATAACTACTTCCTCTGTGAGTCCTTTCCCAACTAAGTAAACCTGAAATGTACATGCATCCTTCAAGAAACCACTGACACAGCCACTTTCTCCTGGCATCAGGCAAGATGCTGCAGTTGCAAAAGAACTGATTTGCTTCTTCAGTAGCAAGTGAGCCCATTCTTAGGACAAAAAAAGTTTTGAATTTTATCCACAGGTAAAAGATATTTTTGTTATTAGTGGAATCAGTGATTCAACCATTCATTCAATTACCCACTCAGCAAATATTATTAGTGCTTTATTTATAAAATAATGCAATTATTCTGTCTTAGAAATAAGGCACACCTGGTTTGAAAACTAATTTTCTCTCTGACTGTTTGACATTGCATATGTCATTCACATTCTCCAAGATGATACACTCACCTGTCAGTATTTTCAGTATTTGATTTTAAAAATGTGGAAGGCCTGACTCATAGGCATTTAGTGATTCTGTTATCTTCTTTTCCATCTTTTATTAGCGTAAATGATTGTCATCATAATCAGGTCATCAACCAGGGATTTCTGGCTTAGAATTATTCATAGGTACAACGCTGATGGCTCTTCTGAAATTGCCCCTGCATAGGTTAATCCACAAATTGTACATGTATCTAATCTTCGGCCTCATAACATTGTATTCCCTCAACACCTCCATTATTTTATAATTCTGCAACAGACAATTCAATTGTATTATGTTGTCCATTGCTAACATCTATGTTGGATGGTTTTTATCAACAGTCTGTATTGTAGAGGGTGAGAAAAACAGTACAGGTAGCAGGGTTCATTTTACCTCATTTGTATTTATTTAGAACGATGCTTTTTCAAATATTTCAAATATTGCTATTTTTTTCTTGTGTCTTTAATATGGTTAGGCTTTGTGTCCCCACCCAAATCTCAGCTTGGATTGTAATCCCCATAATCCACAAGTGTCAAGGGAGGGACGAGATGGAGGTAATTGAATCACGGGGGTTGGGGGGGTGGTTTCCTCCACGCTGTTCTCATAATAGTGAGTGAGTTCTAAGGAGATCTGATGGTTTTATAAGGAGCTCTTCCCCACAACTTTGCTTGGCACTTCTTTCTGCTGCCTTGAGAGGAAGGTGCCTTGCTTCTCCTTCACCTTTTTCCATGATTATAACTTTCTTGAGACCTCCCCAAGCATGCTGAACTGTAAGTCAATTAAACCTCTTTTCTTTATAAATTACCCAGTCTCAGGCAGTTTTTATAGCAGTATGAACATGAACTAATACACCCCAACAGTAACTTATTTTCAACAAAAGCACAGTTATGCTCTAGGTCCCTACTCTTCTAAACCATACACCCTCCTAGAGGTAAACTAAAGACCTATATGATGTCTCACTTTTCATCTTTACCTGTGTTTGCCAAAGGCACTTCAAACTCATCTGTCCTTTCTTTAACATGTCTTCTCCTTCCCAAAGTATTTTTCTTCACCTTCAGTCCACATTTTAGTAAATGACATCATATTTCAGTCATTCTGCATGGCTAGAAAATTAGGAATTATCTTGGGTTACAATTTCCCAAACTTTTATATTAAAAAGAGTATCTAACACTACCAGTTTTATATCTTAAATATTTGTTATATATCTATCCTTTCCATCTTTATTTATAGCACTTTTAAGTCCTTTTTAATTTTTACTTGCAGTTTGACAAATATGGTTCTTACTAGGATTATACTATGCGTATTCCTCTATAACCTTTTCCCTATGTAACTCTACATCTTTCTTCCCTTCACTTCCTTAATGTGTTTTGTCATTCCATGCCCACCATGTTCGCATACACTAATTACTAGAATGTGAGACAACCCCTCTTTAACCCTGTCATCCCTTTGGGTTGTCAAAACCGGGTGATCCATCTTTATTTATTGCTACACAACTATGAATAAAGTTTGTTCCCAAGAAAAGACAGCAACGTGTCTGGGTAAAAGGGGATCATATTCTCTGTAAAAGATATGCTAGATTCTCAGCCTCATATTCATTTGTTTCTCAACCACCTAAGAGCTATGCATTCTCCCAAGCTCAGTTCAGACATAATCACTTCCAGGAAGCTTTCTGCAATGCTGTGAGTGTGAAACAAGTGTGCCTCTCAATGTAATTTAGGGCAAAATCTGTAATATAGCACTTGATTGTTAATATATCTTTCACCTTTGTTGGACTGCAAAGTACTGAAGGACAAAAACCTGGGTCTTTTATTTTGTCATCCGCAGCTTCTAATAATACTGTTCCAGGCATATAACAGATAATTGACATATAGATGGGTAGACAGACAGATAAATAGATCTATATCTATTACATATAATGGAATTTTTTTTGTAATATATATTATATTCTATGATGGCAAGGAATTGTACCTCATTTCTCCTTTCTGTTAAACTACTTTAATGGCAAAATCCATTTTAGTTAATAATTATTCAATAAATATGAACCAAATTGAGTTAAATTAGCAAGATACATCGTTTAAATTACAATGTATTTGTAACAAAAATCTTAGTGTAATACAGTGATTTATATGTTACTTTTTAATATTCATTTTTTGCTTTATATTTGTGTGTTAATTGTTCAATGAGATGCTTGGCTTACAAGATTTTTCTCACCCATATTTAGGTGAATGTATTTGAATTATAAATCTGTGGTGAACAGGGGCTGCACAGATTTAAGGTAATTTTAATATGATCAACAAACTGACTTTTTTTAGAAAAGGTAGAGTTTTGATGTAAACTAATATTTTGATAATAATCCTAGCACCCATGGGTTTAGACAAGTGTTTTTACTCTTATATGATCCAAAAGAAATTAAAGTGGCTGGGCGTGATGGCTCATGCCTGTAATCCCAGCACTTTGGGAGGCTGAGGTGGGCACATCATGAGGGCAGGAGATCGAGACCATCATGGCTAACACGGTGAAACCCCGTCTCTACTAAAGTACAAAAAATTAGCCGGGCATAGTGGCACAGGCCTTTAGCCCCAGCTACTTGGGAGGCTGAGGTAGGAGAATCGCTTGAACCCGGGAGGCGGAGGGTGCAGTGAGCCACTGCACGCCAGCCTGGGCAACAGAGCCAGACTCCGTCTCAAAAAAAAAAAAAAAAAAGAAAGAAAAGAAATTAAAATATAATTTTACATTTGAGACACACTAACAATTCAGTTGTCTGATTTAATATTTCTACTCTTGTTGTGGATGAATGTATATATTTTTAATAGAACTTTGGATTTTAAGCAGGAAGTTACTGTAACATCAAGTAAATTGTTAGAAAGTCGTTCTTCAAGCTCCAAATGAAAGATTCTTCACTCTTTGAAACCTTCTTTTGCTGACTCCATAGACTTAACCACTTGTGATTAGAGTTCCCTTGACCTTGAAATTGCATTACAGATAGTTGTCTTTGGTGCTACTTTCCTTAACAGACCACAACTTCTTGAGTGCAGAAACCATAGTTTATTGCTCTCCTAATTCTAAGTGAAAAAGGAAAGGAGAAGAGAATGTAAAAAGCAGGGGAAAGAGGCAAGCAGAAATAAAATAGTCTTTGAATATTTTGCAGCCACTTAATAAATTCTTAAGTCAGATCCTTTTTGTCCCACTTCTGACTTCTGGTTGACTTTATGTCTACTGGGATGGCCTCTTCTCAAGACTCAATTGTGTTCCAGTATGTTTTCTTTCTTCTCTCTCAGCATACCTCCCATTTCGCCCAAGTTATACAGTAAACTTGCTGTTTGAAAGAAAGCGCTGGACTTGTTTAATTTATATTAAAGAATGGGTGACCATTTATTGCTTTTATATGGTATCCCAATTTGATGTTAACATTTTAAAAAAAGACATGCTGACACAAAGTAGTAAATCTCTAATGGTAGAAATTATCTGTACAAATTTGGGATATAAGAGCATTGATTATCAGTACTCTTTGTCCTGCTTTCCTCACTGTCCTGCTTTGCTGAATAGTATTTGCAGAAGAGAGAAAGAGTTAGTATGCAGGATAATTTACAGAAACAAGTATGATGTGGGAAGAATAGAGTTTTTTGAGAGCTTAATAAATTTTTTTCAACATAACTTTTGAATGATTCACTCTGGTCATTTAGACAGGAGGCCCAAATAGCAATGTTAGAAAGCTGCCAGAGAATTTGTTACACAAGATAAATCCAGCCTTTGGGAAATCTTGTGGTATTCCTAATTACCTTCTTGTTTCTTTATACACGTAAGGCTTGGATGCTGGAAGATAACACAATTATATCTCCTCCCCCAATCCCTATGTAACAGATTTTCCACATTGAATTTCATTTTTGTTTTTTAAATAATATCAAACCTTTGCATTTCTCCAGGTTAGTAAAAATGCAGGCCTCATTGTGTTGCTAAAGGATCTTCCTCTTTTCCCCACTTAGAATTTTCTGAACCTAATCAGCAAGGAGCATTTTGCCAGGCTCCTGGTCATTGGTCCATAAATGAATGACACTCTTCAGGCCAAGGGCTAGCTAATTGCCAATTCCGAACTCTGTGTGTTAACTAGTGTGTGTTCTTTTCACTTTTCAAAGTCATAACGGATCAGGTACAGTGGCTTTTGCTTCCACATTTGAGCTGCCTGAATAAACAGGAGGTAATCCCTCACCTTAGGCTGCTGCATAATGCATTCCAGCTTGTTGCTCTGAGTATTTTTTGACAGCTTTAACATTTGTTACTGGTAGTTGATCTTGGACTTTTTGATCCATGAATCTGAATGGTACGGCTTGTCCTCATGCTCATCATTTCTTGGTCAGCAAATTAGTCTGGGGCCCTTGCTCAGGATCGTACTAAAAATGAAAATCCCCATGCAAAATAAGTATTTCCATAATTTTGAGTATCTTTGTTGAAAAAGAAAAAAATGTTCTCTCTTTTTAATGGCATGAGACAGTTATTCTTCCATCATGTGAGCATCTTGCTCTCTGTTTACAATGTGTATGTTATGCAGATTCTTATACAAATATCTTTTCTATTTTTTTAAACGAAGGCAGGTTCACACCTCTGTCTTGTGTCCACCTTTCCAGGTACCAGTGCCTCTCATTTATTCTTAGTTTTCAGTATTGCGATTTGTTTTAGGTAGACGATTTGCGCCTTGAAAAATAGTCATTGCAAACAATGAGTAAATACTTAAAAAAAATTATAGTGTTTGTATAGTAAAAGTGTGTGTTTTTTCTCTTCTAAATTTACTGTAATGTCACATTTTACTTGTAAATAAGTAGGAATTTCAATGTAGTAACGTAAATAAGTAAAATTAAATAACCAGTAGTTCTAAATACTGTTTTAATTGTTATTGTCTGTTTACTTCATAGTAGTAATTGTAGGAATATATTTCAAGAAAGTAAATGTAAAGTCTAACAAAGTCACTACATTATTTGTTATAGTAAAAAATATCAATAACCAAAATGCCCAAAATGAAGTAATTGATCAAATTTAATGAGAACAACCTGAGGGAATATTATATGAGTGGAGACAATTGTATTTATTTAAAAAAATATAAAAAGTTGAAAAATGCTATTTTTATGAAAAAGCAGAATTTGACATCTAACATATGAAATGATCTAAATCAATGTTTTTCAGATGTTTTAGTTTCCATTTTTAAAAATAAAAAGTGTATTGTACCTATGACCCTCATATATGCATACATAATACACAAATAAAACAAGTTTTTCTCACACCTGTAATCCCAGTACTTTGGGAGGCCGAGGCAGGCAGATCATGAGGTCAAGAGCTCGAGACCATCCTGGCCAACATGGTGAAACTCTCTTCTACACTAAAAATACAAAAATTAGCTAGGCATGGTGGTGCGCACCTGTAGTCCCAGCTACTCGGGAGGCTGAGGCAGGAGAATCGCTTGAACCCGGGAGGCAGAAGTTGCAGTGAGCCGAGATGGTGCCACTGCACTCCAGCCTGGCAACAAAAGGAGACTCTGTCTCAAAAAAAAAAAAAAAAAAAAGAAAGGTTTTTCAAAACAATAGTCATCCCATTAAATATAATGTATATTGACATTTTCTTTTTTCTCTCTGTTTTAATTTAATTTTAAAAGAATTTGAATTGTGACCTGTTAAAGTGATTTATTGACCAAAAAATGGGTTGTGATGTGTAGCTAACAAGACATTGACCTAAAATACATAAACGATGTACTTTGAAAATATTCTAGAAAGAAATGCAGTATAATATTAATATTTTATACATAACATTTAGATATGGAATATTTACATTTTTCCCTCATTCTGCTCCAAAGTTTTAAAAATATTGGCAGTAAACATTTTAACCTCACAAGTGTGACTCAACTTTTCACGTGCCATATTTTTTCATCAAGTGTAAATATGTTTTACTTTTCCAAGTGCTTTCTTCCAGCTTCTTTTCCGTTTTTGGTAGGGTAGAGCCCAGGTTTTAAAACACAGAGTATTTTTCTGGACCTAGTAAGTTCAAGATAAATAACTATTACATGAGTGAGTGAGTTAAGTGCTTGAATGGCTTTATAAAACTTAACTCAAATGTGTTTTTATGAAGTAAATGTTAGTTTTTATTATTATTTTATTCACTTCATTACAGAGCAACATCAGCTCTACTAAAATGGAAGTTAATATAGTCAAATGACATTTTCATATTCAAAATATACTCTTGTCCAAAACATGTCTTCAGTGTTAGGACAGAGTTATGTTTGGTGATAATGCTGTATAAAATGTCATCCTGCTGAAGAAAGAACGTAGGCTTGGGAGCCAAAACAGTTTGTAGTGATCTCGCTGAGCCACTCCGTTGTAAAATGAAAATAATAATATTTGCCTCATAAGCTTTCTGAGTAATTAATTTGTATAAAATACCTAGGTTCATGACTGGCACATATGTTAAGCGCCTGCCTTTCCTTTTCCCCAGCTACTGGGTAATATTTTAAAATATTTTATAATTTTAAAGAAAATTGTTGTCATTTACAGTCAGCCCTTCGTATGTGATGTGGAACCCGTGGACACAGAGGGCCGGCTTTTGGATCCAGGGTTGTTGACTGAGTACACCGATGCAGAGCCACACATACTGAGTGCTGGCTGTACTACCATTTCATACAAGCGACTTGAGCATCCACAGCTTTTTGTATCCACAGGGTTTGCGGAGCCCTTCCTCAATGGATAATGAGAGCAAACTGCAATTAGCTGTATATAAAATTACAATCTTTAAAAACGTAGGCTTTTATATCAACTGAAGTGACTCAGGTTCAGCAACGCATAATATAATTTTTCTTTTCTTTCTTTTTTTTTTGACACGGAATTTTGTTCTTGTCACCCAGGCTGGAGTGCGGTGTGGCGCGATCTCGGCTCACTGTAACTTCCTCCTCCTGAGTTCAAGCGATTCTCCTGCCTCAGCCTCCCAAGTAGCTGGGATTACAGGCATGCGCCACAATGCCCGGCTAATTTTTTATTTTTAGTAGAGACGGGGTTTCACCAGATTGGCCAGGCTGGTTTCAAACTCCTGACCTCAAGTGATCAGCCCGCCGCAGCCTCCCAAAGTGCTGGGATTACAGGCGTGAGCCACCATGCCCGGCCGCCAAGATAAATTTTATAAATAAATACATAAAGTGTAAATATGAAGTGGGAAAAAAATACCATCTAATTTTAAAAAGATACAACACTTACACAGATATGATATGGGGGGAATATATCTTAGAACCAAAAGTACTAAGTTGAATATAAATCATCATGTTGTACTATACCTATGAAAGGGAATTCTCATATATATTTCAGAAGATTTGGCCAACAAGAATAGAAAATGTCTTTGAGCTCATCCCTGTGTTCTTTAGGATCTTCATTTAAAAAGCAGAGTTGTCATTCTTGTTTTTTGTTTGTTTTCAGGGTGTACTAAAAAACTAAAGTCAGTTCACCATCGTACATGAAAAATTCTCAAAAAATTTGTAAACAAACATTAAAGATTTAATTTGATTTAATTTAATAGAGGAAATTAAGATTAATTTAATACAAATCTCTGTGCACATTCAAAATAGAAATGGTGAATTCTTCTTCATGTTCACTGAGAAGAGATAAGGATATTGGTTAAACTGGCAAAGAGAAAGAGCAAAAAGGGAAGGTGCTGTTGAAATTTTAAAGCAGTCTTTTAAAATATAACTGACCAAAATGATTTTTAGACTCTGATACAACAAAATAAGTGATTGAATTTTTGAAGTCTCATAACTTAATAAAATAGTATGATGTCCCAGAGGTTTTGATTTACATCTGAATAGAACCTTTTAATGAAAACAAAATATACACAAAAATGAATAAATAAAAATAAAAAATATTTTACTGAGAAAAAAAGAGATTATTGATCATTTAATATAGGGGTAATTTCCTTAATACATCTATTTATTAATGTTATGAATTAATTTTCTCAACTTAGAAAAAGTATTCCCTACATAGTATGAAAAATTCAAACAATGTGATAATAAAAGGTAATGCTGCACAGGAGGTAAACACACAAACTACTGGGCTTGAATTCAAGTTCTGACTCCATCTATTAATATTTCTGTAAGTCTATATACAAATGTCGCTTAATCTCTCTTTGCCTCAATTTTAAAAAAAATGTAAATGAAAATTAAAATAATTCTTGTTTCTATTATGGGGCTTAAATTGCGTAATACTGGCAGATTACTTAAAACAGTGCTTGGCACAGAATAACTATCCAATATATTTTAGCCTTTATAATTATTGTATAATAATATAGTCAAAAGACACAAGCAGAGAGTGCTTACAGAAAGAACAAAATGGGGCAACAAGTATATAAATCAGAGCCAACCATTCTTACAACCAAGTAAATGAAACAATGAGACCTTTGTTAACATATCGGATTGAAAGATTTATCTGTTGTTATAGGTGTGGGAAAAAAAGAGACTCTCAAACACTGTTGGTGAGAGTATAAACTGGCATAACCTTTCTGAGGGCAATTTAGAAACTATCAAAGTGAAACTGCACGCATCTTTTGACCTAGAAATCTGACTTCTAATATTACTGATATTTAAACATGTCTACAATCTTGTTAACAGAAAACTAATGGATGCAACATAGCAGTTCTAGTATGAGTTGTATGTGCTTCAGAAAAGTACATATACACATTCATACAAAATATGAGTATGCATACAGTCATGTACCCCATAACAATGTTTTGGTCAATAATGGACTGCATATATGAGGGTGCTTCAATAGTGGAGCTGAAAAATTCCTATCATTTAGTGACATTGTGTCCTTTGTAATGTACTGCAATGCATTATTCAACGTTTATGGTGATGCTGCTGTAAACAAAACTATTGGACTGCCAGTTACATAATGATAATATACAACTATGTTACTGGTTTACATATGTACTATACTATACTTTTCATCATTACTTTAGAATGTTCTCCTTTCAGATATTTTTTATAAAGTTGAGTGTAAAACAGCCTTAGGCAAGTTCTTCAGGAAGTATTCCAGAGGAAGTCATTATTATAATCATAGGAGATGACAGCTTCGTGCATCTTATTACCACTAAAGACCTTTCAGTGGAACAAGATGTAAAGGGGCAAGACAGTGATACTGATGATCCTGACCCTTTGCAGGCCTCGGCTGATGTGTTTGTTTATGTTTTAGTTTTTAATTTAAAAAGCGTAAACATTAAAAAAAATTAAATAGAAAAAATCTTATAGAAAAGAACATAAAGAAAAATATTTTTGTAGGGTGTCAATTTTGGATCTTTCCTGCTTTCTCTTGTGAGCATTTAGTGCTATAAATTTCCCTCTACACACTGCTTTGAATGTGTCCCAGAGATTCTGGTATGTGGTGTCTTTGTTCTCGTTGGTTTCAAAGAACATCTTTATTTCTGCCTTCATTTCGTTACGTACCCAGTAGTCATTCAGGAGCAGGTTGTTCAGTTTCCATGTAGTTGAGAGGTTTTGAGTGAGTTTCTTAATCCTGAGTTCTAGTTTGATTGCACTGTGGTCTGAGAGACAGTTTGTTATAATTTCTGTTCTTTTACATTTGCTGAGGAGAGCTTTACTTCCAACTATGTGGTCAATTTTGGAATAGGTGTGGTGTGGTGCTGAAAAGAATGTATATTCTGTTGATTTGGGGTGGAGAGTTCTGTAGATGTCTATTAGGTCTGCTTGGTGCAGAGCTGAATTCAATTCCTGGGTATCCTTGTTAACTTTCTGTCTCGTTGATCTGTCTAATGTTGACAGTGGGGTGTTAAAGTCTCCCATTATTATTGTGTGGGAATCTAAGTCTCTTTGTAGGTCACTCAGGACTTGCTTTATGAATCTGGGTACTCCTGTATTGGGTGCATATATATTTAGCATGGCACATGTATACATATGTAACTAACCTGCACATTGTGCACATGTACCCTAAAACTTAAAGTATAATAATAAAATTTAAATAAATAAATAAATAAATAATTTTGAATATGTAGTTGCATAAAAAAAGAAAAATATTTTTGTATAGCTCTACAATGCATTTGTGTTTTAAGCTCAATGTTATGAGTCAAAAAAGTTTACAAAATTAAGTTTATAAAGTAAATTAATTACAGTAAGCTAAGGCTAATTTATTGAAGATACAAAAAGATTTTAAATAAATTTAGTGTAGCCTAAATGCACAGTGTTTATAAAGTCTACAGTAGTGTACAGTAATGTCCTAGGGCTTCACATTCACTCCCATTCACTCCTGAACTCACCTAGAGCAAAATACCAACCCTGCCGCCTCCATTCAAAGTAAGAGCCCTAGACAGGTATAGCATTTTTTCTTTCATACCACATTTTGCTATACCTTTAATACATTTAGATACATGCGTAAGGTTACTAACCATTGTCTTCCAATTGCCTATAGTGTGCAGCACGGTAACATGCTGTGCAGGTCTGTAGCCTAGGAGCAGCAGGCTATGTCCCATAAAGCCTAGGATTGTAGTAATCTATACCACCCAGGTTCGTTAAAGTATATTTATGATGTTTTCACAAGAAATCGCCTAATGGGGCATTTCTCAAAATATATCCCTGCCATTAAGTGAAGAGTGACTGTATAGGCATACCTTGCTTTATTGCTCTTTGGTTTATTGCAGTTTGCAGATATTGTCTTATTTATAACGTGAAGGCTCGTGGAAACCCTGTGTCCAGCAAGTCTGTTAGTGCCATTTTTTCAACATCATGTGCTCACTTCCTGTCTTTGTGTCATGTCAGTAATTCTAGAATAGTTTCAAGCTTTTTCATTATTATTATGCCTGTTACGGTGATCAGTGATCAGTGATCTTTGATGTCACTATTGTAATTGTTTTGGGGTGCCACAAACAGATCCCATATAAGAGGGTGAACATAACTGATGTGTTCTGCCTTCTCCATCAACCAACCATTACATCATTTCTCTCTTCCTCCTCCATCCTTATTCCCTGAGACACAACAGTATTGAAATAGGCCAATGAATAACTGTACAATGGCTTCTAAGTGTTCAAGTAAAAGGAAAAATAGCATGTTTCTCATTTTAAATCAAAAGCTAGAAATGATTAAGTTTTGTGAGGAAGACATGTCAAAAGCTGAGATAGGCCAAGAGTGAGGCCTCTTATGCCAAACAGTTAGCCAAGTTCCAAATGCAAAGGGAAATTTTCTGAAGGAATTTAAAGTGCTACTCCAGTGAATACATGAATGATAAAAGAGAAAAAGCTTTATTGCCAATAGAGAGAAAGTTTTGGTGGTCTGGATAGAGGATCAAACCAGCCACAACATTCCCTTTTAGCCAAAGCCTAATACAGAGAAAAGCCCTTACTCTTTGATTCTTTGAAGGCTGACAGAGTTGAGGAAGCTGCAAAAGCAAAGTTTGAAGATAGCAGACGTTGGTTCATAGGATTGAAGGAAAGAAGCTTTTTCCATAACAAAGTGCACGGTGAAACAGCAAGTGCTGACATAGAAGCTGCAGCAAGTCATCCAGAAGATCTAGTTAAGATCGTTGATGAAGATGGCCACTAAACAACAGATTTTTGATGTAGACAAAGAGCCTTCTGTTGGAAGAAGATGCCGTCTAGGACTTTCATAGCTAGAGAGTAGAAGTTAATGCCTGGCTTTAAAGCTTCAAAATACAGGCAGCCTCTCTTGTTAAGGGCTAATGCAGCTGGTGACTAAGTTGAAGCCAATGCTCATGTAGCATTCCAAAATTCCTAGAGCTTAAGAATTATGCTAAATCTACTCTGCCTGTTCTATGTAAATGGAACAAAAAAGCTTGAATGACAGTTCACATGTTTACAGTATGTTTTACCAAATATTTTAAACCCACTATTGAGATTTAATGCTCAGAGAAAAAAAAAAGATTCCTTTCAAAATATTACCATTCACTGACAAAGCACCTGGTCATGCAAGAGCTCTGATGGAGATGTACAAGGAGAGTAATGTTATTTTTATGCCTGTTAGCAGAATATCCATTCTGTAGCCCATGGATCAAGGAGTAATTTTGTCTTTTAAGTCTTTTTATTTAAGAAATACATTTTGTAAAGCTATTATGACCATAGTGATTTCTTTGATGGATTTTGGGAAAATAAATTAAAAACCTTCTTGAAAGGATTTACCGTTCTAGATCCCATCAAGAATATTTGTTATTCATGGAAGAAAGTTAAAATATGAACATTAACAAGGGGTTAAAAGATGTCAATTTTAACCCTCATGGATGAATTTTAGGGGTCCAAGACTTCGGTGGAGGAAGTAACTGCAGATGTGATGGAAATAGTAAGAAAATTAGAATTATAACTGAAACATAAAGACGTAACTGAATTACTGCAATCTCATGATCAAACTTGAATTGATGAGAAGTTGCTTTTTATGGATGAGTAACAAAAGTAATTTCTTGAGATGGAAACTACTCCTGATAAAGATGCTGTGAACATTGTGGAAATGACAACAAAATATGAGATTACATAAATGCAGTTGATAAAGCAGCATCAGGGTTTGAGAGGATTGACTTCAATTCTGAAAGACATTCTACCATGGGCAAAATGTTATCAAACAGTGTTGCATGCTACCGAGAAATCTTTCAAGAAAAGAAGAGTCCACTGAAATGGAAAACTTCTTTGCTTATTGTAAGTTAAAAAATTGCCACAGCCATCTCAACCTTCAGAACTACTAATCTTGTCATCCAGAACCCAATAACATTAAGGCAGGATCCTTCACTAGCAAAAAGATGACCATTTGCCAAAGGCTCAGATGATGGTTAGCATATTGTTTTGGCAATAAAGTATTTTAAATTGAGGTATATACGTTGTTTTTTACCTAATGCTATTGCACACTTAGTAGACTTCAGTGTAGTATAAAAATAACTTTTATTGCACTGCGAAACCAAAAAGCTAGTGTGACTTGTTTTACTATGATATTTGCTTTATTGCAGTAGTCAAGAATTGAACTTGCACTATATCCCGAGTATGCCTATATATGGAAAGATAAACTGAAAACTGAAAACTTTTGATATTTCCTTTAAGTCAGTGAGACTATGAAGGGTGGGACCTATCATGGTTAAAGAAAGGAAGATATTAGACTTTCATCTCATAGCTTTTTAAAAAACGATGTGCAATTGTTATAGTAAAAATGTCTAAATGAAATATATAGCTTCAGGCATAAAATGTATAATCATAAGGGCTAAGCAAAATTGAAAACAGGTCACTGAACAAAAAGGATATTTAAAAAGCTCTACTTAATTTAAAAGCTCTGTTGGTTCAGTATGTATATTTATACATATTTGTTGAAGAAATTATGTATTTTTTATAAAAGAAGCAGCGAAGAGAGATTAACACTGCTGAATGTGGTGTCAGACAAAGCAAAAAAATTAACAACTGTCACAATTCTTGTAGTGTAGATAATTTTTGATAAAATATATGCAAAATTAGAATTGATAGCCACAGCCTGAATAGATTTAGCTGAAATTCCTGCTAGAGAAAAATGACTTTGTTCTGAATATTTGAAATACTAGCTATGGGATTCAGAATAAAAATGCATTGTTGTAGTATTAGGTAAACACTTGCTTAATAGAACAAACTGACAAAGATATCATCTGTCTTTTTCACCATTGTATTTCATGCCTGCGTTGAGATTCTCATTTTATTTATAATAAGAGGTAATTATTAGGCCATAGAATTCACTTAGAAAAAACTGATGCATTTTATAAAGTTCAAAGTAGGAACATATTTTAAAAATGTAAAAGCTTTGCCTTAATTGTCCCCTCAATTTATTAGTTAATTACTAATCAGTTTATTAGAAATGTGATTTGTACATCAAGATCAGCATTAAACCATAAATGCATGTGTTTTCTAGATGCATTTATGCTGTTTTATTTCTATATGCTATTTTATTAAGAGATTTATAGATGAAATAGGAATCTTTAAGTTAGCTGATATATAGTAAATATTCATTATATCAATTGCTATTATCTCATACAAAATGAATAATTGCTAGCTATGCTTTAAAAGATATATTTTAAACTACATTGTAGAGAGTCATACACTTAAATGTTTATTTATATAATTTTATGAAAAAAAAAAAACAAAATCATATCTATACACCTTACCAAATGGAAAGTTTTATGGTCAGCTAGGTTTTTCTGACCGCTTACCCTACACTAAAACAGTGGTTCACATATGATTATGTTATGAATTGATCAATTGCTCGGCTATATGCAATACCATAAGTAACAGAATAAAGAGAAGGTGCTAATTGTTAAAAAAAATGGCTTATTTACAATACTCATAAATATAAGTCCAACCTGTCTTTTATCCTTAAGCTAAAATGAGATATATAAACTGGAAGATCTAGCAATAAAAATCATTTTTACCATTCCAGTGGTATATGTTCTAATCAATTTCTAATATGTAGAATTTTCTCAAACTAAGAGTCTATTTTATATTGGCAAAAATTTTCCTAATAACCTTGGGTAATTAAAATTCATATTTAGCTCAAATTTCTGGTAAGAGAAAACGAACTCCATATAGACTAGAATTAGTCTCTGTGGAAACTAGTATGTTCTCTGAAAAGAGCACTTTTCAGGTTCTTCTCTTTTTGAAAAGTGAGTTGGTCAACAAAATGAAAAATAACAATGGTGCATACATAATGCACACATCCACACACATACATGCTTACGCACGGGCACACAATCCAAACTGAGAGCATCGAGTGAGGGTCACCAATGGGGCAGTGACTGGCAAATGTGAATTTCTTTCATGGCTGTTGATATAGTTGTTAGGAAAAAAAGATTTAAGTACACTTGTTTTCAAAATATATTATGGAAAACATTGCAGTTTTACCTCAATCCTAATCCTGAATTTTTTTAAGATTTCTTGTTAATGAAATTCACTATCATGTGTAAAAATGTTAGTATTAAAAATGTAAGAACTTGTTTTTTCATTTCATTTGGAATGCACATAAAAATTAGTCTGTGAGATACTTATGTTAGGTGTCATTTTGTAAGGGATTTGTTTTAATCCCAACAAGTGAAATAATTAGCAGTTTAAACAATGAAAAATGAATGGGCACTAATTGTGATTGACATGAAAGAGTATTTCTTTGATTATTTTAAGTTATTTGGTAAGTAGAATAAAAGGGGGAGGGAAACTAAATCTGTTTGAATTCCTGCTATATGTTACACACACAGTTGAATTCTCCACAAATGATCTAAGTTTATTCCTTACAACACCCTATAGACAGGTTTTATCTCTCTTTTAAAGACCAGTCAAATACAGGGAGGTTAAGTATCAAGTCAGAAATATGAGAAGTCTTCTCTTTCCTTTATCCACAAATTTAACCGGTCATCAAGCTCTATCAAATTTCCTTAATGTCTTGTATATTAAACCCCTTTTTATATTTTCTTTATTATTCCCTTAACCCTTCATCACCTCTTTCCTGGACTCTTCCAAGAGTAGATCTTGCAGTAGATCTTCTCCACAGCCTTTTTCTACAATGCAAAACTAATCACATGACTCCTTTCCTTAATGCCCTTCAACATGTCTCCATTTTTCATAGGATGTACTCCGAAATTCTTGGCAAGCTCTACAAGACTCTCCACAATCTGGTCCCTGCTCATCACTTAAGGTTTATATTCACACATTCTTATTCTATTTCTCTCCTAGACTTCTCAGCCATCCCAAGATAATTGCAGTTCTGAATCTATTTTCTGCTGCTTTATGTCTGAGTATTTTCTCACCTGCCTTTCTTTGACTTGAGCTCACCACGCCCCACCTCAAAATTTCTGCCAGATTGTCTTCTGTAAGCTAGTGATAACGTCACTTCCTTCATAAACCATTTGCTCACCTGCTACCCTTGTTCTCTGTCCCCTCTTACAAGTGAATTGACAGCTCTAACACACATTTCTACCATAGCCCACCTAACTTTAGTTTCAGTAGTAACTTAAATGTTTTTCTTTGATCGTTAGTCTGGGATTAAGTTTAGGGTTAGGACAGGGACAATGTTATATTTTGTGTGCAAACCTGGTAACTAGCATATTTCTTGGGACATCATAGGCATTGTATTTCTTATTTTGTTTGTAAAGGAATGATATTGGAGAATATGAAGGGTATTAGACCAAGGGAAAGATTAGACATTCACCCATAACCTAGAAAAGAATCAATTCAGGGTATCCAAACAGTTATCAGTCATGGACCTTCTTTTAGAGTTTTATAATTAATATTACTCAATTCTAATTATTTCATATCTGTGTGTGTGTCTTTTCCAGGTTTCAAATTTCCAGTATATTAAATCTGATTTGCTCAAGTTCAGTCGGATGCGTACAACTGAATTAGAAAAATAACTTAGACTCATGTGAGATGTGACCAGTAGGTGTCATTCACAGGAAAGCAGCATTGTTAAGACTCAGGTCGCCACTTTATGAGACACCCGTTGGAGGTATTCAAAGGACTTTAGCTGGCTAGGTAGTATTTAACCGATAAAACAGAGCAAGTATATATAGAAAACATTTATCAACAAAAATACAGTAGACCCACAAATTTAAAATCACTACGAGTCAAAACCTCTAGCGACAAATCATGAAGTGGGTCTTCAAGCTCTTGTGAAACTCTGGTGTCCTGAATTATGCATATCACTGCAGTCACAACAATTTGAGAAAAATTTTACTTCCAAAAGGAAGTAGCAACAATAAGGTTAATGTTTTACATTGGAAAAGTGATCGTTCTCCAGGGCAATATGGCAGCAATGGCTATATTAAGTATTTAGTCAAATATACTATAAGCTTATGGTCTTCCATTGTTTCTTATTAAGATAAATGACAAGATCTTCCATTTTCTTTGTAGTCCAGAGAATTTGAAATCATTCCTAATATCTTCTTCTTTTCATATTTAATTTCCCAAGTAATTATAATAATTATGCCCATATAATGTCTCTTAAAACTTTTACATTGTCTACCTCCAGTGCAACACTTTACTTCAAATTACAATTTTATTTCACCTATACTGTGAATTAGCCTCCTAATTTATAACTAATTGTATTAAATGCATCCATTCTGCTAAGCTCCACCCTTCTAATTTCTTCTTCATACCTCATCCAGAGTTAACTTTTGAAAACTCAAACCTAAGCATGTTTCTATCCTGCCTGAAACTTTTTAGTGGGTTTCCATTTCTCCTGGAATAAAGACAGAAGCTCATAACTTGGTCTACCAGTACCCCATCTCCAACTTCACTAGGCTCTGCCTAATCAAACTCGTCTTTTTTTCTTATCCTTTGTACTTAGACTGCTCCAGTAAGTGTACATGATGTTCTCTGTGGAATTCCCTTTTATTGCTTTTTTACTTAGTTAATTTCTACTCACCCTTACGTTCTCAGCTCAAGCTAACTTCTTTATAGAAGCCCTCTTTGATCTCCCTGCTGGGTCAAATTCCTCTACTGTCTTTCTTATGCAATACTCTTCTTCTTAACATCATGCTGCTATCCTTACAGTTTGTTCACAGCACCAATTTTACTCATTTGAGTGTGATTATTTAATTAATGTCTCTACACTAAAGTATAATTTTTGTGAATGTGGGGATATGTGTGTTTCTGTTTCTAAGGTGTCTATCACATGGCAACAAATTAGGCAATCAAATATTTGTCAAATACATTTATGTATCATTCACCAAAATGTTAGATAATAATTTGAATATGTCAATTTTCTTCCTTCTAATTATGCTCTCATTTATAATACATGTTCACAGTATTATTTCTACTTTTATCATATATTAAAACAGTTATTAATAGATAATGCTCAGTTTTAATCTTCATTTATGAGTAGATAAATTGCTAGTTTAACTGCATAAAAATATACATTTCACATTCCATGTTTATTCAACCAGTCTGGGAACAATTCTAGAGTTTACATGGAAAAAAAGAAGAGCATTTTGTACTGTCAAAAGAGTTGATATGCCCTAATTCTCACCCTAACTAGACTGCAGGTTTCCCTGTCAGAGACCATGCATTTAATGTTTTTACCCCTAAGGAATCAGGAGAATTCCAGACTTTAAGTGGATAGTCAATAAATAATTTACTGTATTTTTCTTCCCACATTCATGCTCCCTTAGCTGTTTTTGATTACTTGTCTGCCATTTTTGTGGCAACCTTTTGTGCTAGTTCACTGAACCAGAATATTTAAATGTTTTTATATAGCATTTATTTTACGCTCACCCTGGCTTTTATAGCACATGAGAATTCAATACAACCAGAAAGTATTTGGTGACTTAAAAATTAAAGTATTTATGTTAGATTCTCTGGCAGAATATTTATATTTTGGATTTACATACAGCTATTGAAATACTCTAAATATAAAGTGAGAGTTTCCTAAACTTTGAAGTAGCTTAGAAAACATCTAACCTGGCTGTAAGAAATTAATAACACCAAATTTGTATAGTCTCTCCTAGATAACTGCTTTTAATGAACTATTATTTCTCATTTTTATTCTCTTTGTACTCCCCCAATCCTCATCAGTGATACTAAGGTAAACTTACATGCTTTATGCATGATCAAAGTGCTTACACAAGAAAGATAGGATGATTAAGAAAAACAATGTAGGGAGCAGTTTCTTAAACTTCTTATTAAAGCCAACTTAATTCTCTGGAAAAGAATTAAGCAGCATTTGAAGGTCACCAGCTCTTCCCAAACCTTTCAGAGTATCTTGTCCTGAGACACAATGTTTGTGCAGCAACAACTGGTTGCCTGATAAAGAAAGAAAAGAGTGAGGGACCTCACTGATAAAGAATTGTCATGGGGTAAAGGACATGAGGGAAGGTAGGAGTGTTAGTACATACAACCTCCTGCTTTTTCTTTCCTTCTCATACGTATTTTGGGATCCAAGAGAAGATCACAAATATTTATGGTCCAAAAATTTTTTACCAAAATAAAAAATGTATGTACAACATCATAAAAATGTTACAATGGCTTGGGTAGCTCAAAAAATGTCAACTGGGCACCTTTGTTTGTACTGCTTTAAGGCATCAAATAAATGTTAGTTAAGGCAGGATCCATGGTAGAGGTAAATGGCTTATGATATGATCAGAATAATAGCTTTCAATTGCATAGTAATATGCGGTTTATATAGCTCCTTCAGATTAATTATATCCTTTAAATCTCATCACAACCAAAGATTATATGATTAAAATTTAGAAGAGCCAGAACCAAAACCCAAGCCTTCCATTTTAAGTCCAGTAAGCTTTCCACTATGGGATGCTGAATCCTTTCTTTTCCTTCCTCATCTCCTCCTACTCCTCCTCCTCCTCCTTCTGTCAACTATATTAGTTAAATTTAGATGTGCTAGCATTGTTGGAGCTGGGGAAAAGATGTGGCTGAAGGTTGATAACATCAATCCTTCAAGCCTGCTTCCTGAGCTTCCAGAAGTTGGGCTTGCCACTTAACTTGCTGGATATATGTCTAACTTTTCTGAGATCAAGTATCTAGGTGTAAAATAGAGGCATTACCTCTCATGCCTAAATCACAAGTTTCTTTTTAAGTTTGATACCAAATAATTTAGAAGGAAATACTTTGTAATCTCTAAAAAAATAATTTTAGGTGACTTATTTTAATTGTATTTATCATTTTCAAAGAATAACATTATAATAATTGCATTCACTAGGTACAAATTTCAATTGATGAATAAAAATGTGAGTCATCCTTTCTTTTAGAGGAGAGGAATAAAAAAAGGACACTTTGTAAATAAAGTTTGCTTTAACTGCGTTAGCTTGCTATTTCCCACCATCACTTTTGTCCTCCTCCTTGCTCATTAAGCAGTGAGTCCAAAGTGTATCTGTTGCTCTTGTTGCTGTAGTTGACTCTGAGTGGCTACAGTCTTTTCTAACTTGGACAAGAAAAGCTAGAGCATCAGTAATCAGTCTTTTCCTCGCATTTTGCTTTTGTTTCTGGTAGGTAACAGTTGTTTTAGAACAAAATTCATTCAAACATGTTTCTCTATTAATTAGCTGGGGATGAGTTTATCTGTTATCAGGAAGAAGAATAAGGAACAGGCTCAAAATGTAAGAACATTTGCAATCTCTTTACCTTTGCAGTAAGTTTCCTTCTGCAAGTAGTCTTGTGACTAGCAGAGATTTAAAGCTTGGGTAATAAAAAAAATGAATAAAAAATCATCTTCTATGAGAATGTCAACCATGGGGCCACAGAGGAAAACTGGAAACTTGGGAAAACTGACATGAAGTGGAGGAGGTTTATTTTCTTTTTCTCTCTCTTATGGTAAGATTTGGAGACAGCAGAAGGAGAGAATATGAACACCTATAAAAGAACATATAAAGTTCTTTTCAGAGAAAGAACTTTAAGGAACTTTTTGAATAGAGCAAGTTTATAATTAAAATACCATCTTTTAGATTACAACTGTTGTCATTATGGAATTAGCAGATATTTAAATTGGATTATTTTTACCAAATTACTGAATTTTCATCATTAATTGAGGTCAATAAATCTAATTTGAAGTATCAGGAACTAAGTGGTTATTTTAATAACAAGTCTAGAAAATAAAATACTATACATTTTTTTCAAATATGCAAAGGGCTATTCTAGTATACTACTGGAACAAGTAACGGTATTCTAGGAAAGTTTTATCCATATTTACTACAGAAAATTTAAAGAAGGAATAAAAAGATACTTCTTGTAATTCTCTATAGACATTCACTAAAGAGCTGAGTTATTTGGAGAATATAAATAAATTATTTAATACTTTGTAATTTTAACCAATGACTCATCTTTTAAAAATTGTTTGGATTTTCTGCCTTTAATGTAGTCGAAGGATCATATGATTAATATAGTAGGAATGAAAAGAATACTTTTTAAGTTGTACATTCCAGCTACTTTTAGGAAAGCTCATATTTAAATACTGGCATCTATCTTTCTTTATTGATATTCTTTAGAATACTTCAATATTAATGTAATAGCCTTAACTCCTCTCCTTGTAACTAATGCCGTGCCTTCTCGCCCTTCCTTCATGTGTTACAAGAATCATCCTTCCAAACAAATTTGATTAGGTCACACTCCCACTGAAGACCATTCAATAACCTCTCCCTGTACACACACTAAATTCCAAAAAAGTCCAAGATACTTACTTATGTTCTGGCACTAACCAAAACTTCTGTTTATTATTATTTCACATTATGTTCCAGCAATACCAAGCCATAGGCAATTATCTACATTCTATCAAGCTATCATATTTTTCCTCCTTTCAGTACTTGAAATGACTTTCCCTCTTTTACCCCGTACAGCCTTTCTCATCTTTCAAAGTCTACTACATTCGTCTGTTGACACTCTTCCTTTGTGTCAACTACTTGCGTACATTGAGTATACTCTTATTATTGCTCTTATCACACTGTATTTGAACATACTGGTACAGTAAATTACAGTCTGGATTATGGGCTGTTTAAAATAGAATGCTTGTGGCTGGCTGGGTGCAGTGGCTCAGCATTTTGGGAGGCTGAGAGGGGCGGATCCCTTGAGTTTAGGACTTCCAGACCAGCCTAGGCGACGTGGCGAAACCCCATCTCTACAAAAAACACAAAAATTAGCCAGGTGTGATCGTGTGTGCCTGTCATTCCAGCTACTCAGGAGGCTGAGGCTGGAGGATTACTTGAGCCCTGGCGATGGAGGTAGCTGTGAGCAAAGGTCACTGCACTCCAGCCTGGGTGACAGAGGGAGACCCCATCTCAAAGAAAGATAGAATAGAATAGAATAGAATAGAATAGAATAGAATAGAATAGAATAGAATAGAACAGAACAGATCAGAACAGAACAGAACAGAACAGAACAGAACAGAATAGAACAGAATAGAATAGAATAGAATAGAATATGTGTTTGTTTTTGTATCCTCGGTTCCCACACTCCCCAGCACATATCTAGGAAGCGTGATTGAGCAAACATAGAACAGATCTAGAGTAAGAGAGACTCAACAAATGCCAAGTGGTTTCTTTACTGAGCGCATGCTGATGTTTGCCAGAGTTTAGGTTGGATGTTAGATGAGTACAAGCAGTCATTAATTTGCAAAAGATTGATATTCTCTGAATAGCCCAGACTACTTCTTCCATAATCTCTTTTCTCCAGAGCTGTGCCAAAGATGAAGGACTTTCTTTTTTTTCTGGCTGAAATTGGGAGAAATGACAAGAAATTTGAAAAATAGAAATAAATAAATACCTATAAAAGTAAAAAAATGAATGAAAATAACTTTTCAGAATATCTCTTCAGAAATAGACAATTTATGGCTCAACATGCCATAGCAACAGGCAGAAAATGGTCAATCACAGTTTCTGGTCTGGGTCACTTTTGATGGTGCTTTTAATCTGGCATTGTCAGGTCACTATTTGGAGGATATTCCCTGACTAAGCTGTTAAAATTTCTGATTATACAAGTTTGTTTTGTATTTTCATAAAATGATCATTTTAATTTAAAGGTATAATAATATTCTTATTTCTTATTCAACATTTTATATCTTTGTGTAGAATATTTTCCTTATTGTTTTCATCTAGTTTGTTAAATTAAAATTAAATCTCTAAAACCAACTATTTGTGACAAATCACCAAAGCCTTTAGTGGTATTTGTACAGCGAAATCATGAAATAATACGTGTGTCAATGAAATATATTTATACTTATAGGCCGAGAGCAGTGGCTCATGCCTGTAATCCTAGCACTTTGGGAGGCTGAGGCAGGCAGATTACTTGAGGTCAGGAGTTCTAAACCAGCCTGTCCTACATGGTGAAAACCCATCTCTACTAAAAATACAAAAAATTGATGATGGGTACCTGTAATCTCAGCTACTCGAGAGGCTTAGGAACAAGAATTGTGTGAACCTGGGAGGCAGAGGTTGCAGTGAGTTGAGATCATGCCACTGCACTCCAGCCTGGGCGACAGAGCAAGATTCCATCTCAAAAAAAAACAAAAAAAAAGTGTATTTATATGTATATATATTTTCAATAAAAACATACTAAATTGTATAAATACTAAAATCCTTCCATCTTTTTCCCCTAATTTTAGTCATCAAGTTCTTATGATCAATTGGCTTTCAAAACATACTGAGGCCTTCTTAACAACAAGTGAAAATTTCCAAATAAATGATCTTAATTAAATCATTTAAAGTACAGAGCAAACATGAAAGAACTATTAGTTATGCCTCAGTCCTCATAGAAATTATGTGCACTAGATACAGTACACATTGTCATATTTTCCTACATTATTGTCATCATTTACCATGAAAAGCCAATTTAAAGGGAGGCTTTTTTTTTACATTAGGAAGACCTATCTTCTAGCAAAATATTATAAACTTTAAAGCAAGATCAAAACTAAAGTCAGGACACTAGTTAATGAATCTGGAAATGAAGGTCAAATGGGACTTTGTGGATCAACTTATAATTTAAAAAAAATAAGGACAAAAACAGCACACAGCTTGTTTAAAGAGACTTCCAGGTGCTGCTATATCTTTAGAAATTTTGATTATCTTATAAGTACGTACTAAGTACAATAGTCACTATTCCTAAAGTACTTCTAGTGCACAGATGAATAGATTATGAAATATACAAGGCTCAAACGATATGTCAAAAACATTGTCCAGATAAGTAGTATAGGAGTTTTGAGGAAGCAGGATTCACTTCAAGTTAGGATGATCTGGGGTAATTAAAATGATAGATGGACTTGTTTGGCAAATGAGGTGACAGAGGTATTTCTGAATTTGTATGAAGAGAATTTAGGTAATAGCTGCAAGCTACAAAAGTTTGAAGAAATGCATAGACTTGCTAGAGTGGAATATTAGTAGGTCCACTTTAAGAAAGCAAAAGGAAGAATGTGGTTTTAATAGCCAGGCAGAGAGCCAATAATCAATAGAGTCTTGAGCGTGAATTTCTACTCAGAAACAAAATGACTGACCTGGTATTTTTTGTTATTGTTCAGATAGTTTTATTATTTTTTCTAAGACATTTTCATTAACTAGAATAGAGAGAGGATGATTATCAATCCTATTGCTTTGAAAGGCACAAAACAAACACTGACATGAGATAAATTAAAAAATAAAGGTTTATTTTAGTTACATCAAAGCAGTTCTACATTTAAAAGGCATTATACATTAATGTTTTATCACTTTTTATATATGTAATAATTTTTCTTTGAAGTGAAGATGCAGTTTAGCTCATTGGATTTGTGAGTAAAACAGATACTTTCAGCTCCTTTAAGCAAAAAACTGTAAGGCTATATTAAAACTTGTCAGTCTATTGATACCATAGTCTCTGGTTCTGACTTGCCAATAACTTGATCTAATAATAAAGAAGAGAAAATATTTAGGAAATGACGTGGTAGAAGAAGAAAAGAAGTAGTGTGTTTTTTCTTTAAATGCTTCAAAATAGAGCTCTTCCCACTGACTTATACACCTGCGTGTGGGGAACAAGACCTACCAGCCACTGTGTGGTCTCCTTTGATACTTAGAACAGCCCAGAATAACCCATTCAATTCATTGGATGACTTCATTTCAGAAATCATGCTTTTTACTGAAATCTGAAAGCCGAGAAGTCCGGAACTGGCTTTACAAAGAGATGAAATAGTTTTATGCAAGAATAGCTCAAACAAAATGCAGGGATTTTTTTGTATTCCTTGTGGCTTCGTTGACAGTGATGCATTGATAGTTTGGGGGCAAATCTTCCTAGGTTGGAGCTGATCAACAAGTGGGAATCTGTAGCAAATTGTGTCAAGTCACGATCAATTCTTTGAGGTGTAATGATATTTTTATTAAGGCAAGTCAGTGGATACTTAGTACCTATTAATGTTATATACAAGGTGTGGCATCGAATGTGTTCAAGTGTAAGTCTGTGTTAACTGATGCTTCTTTACAACAGATACCTACATATTCATTATGTGTACATTTGTTTTCATTTGAGAGTGAACTTGATGTTATTTGAGTCCACAGTCTGTAAAACTCAGCCAACACACAGAAAAGTACACTGCTGCTAGAATTGCTTTCCAAGATCGTGAAACTGCTCTGATGTTTTACTCAGAGAGAAACCTTTACACCATTTCCACAGTCGGGTTTGATTGAACAAACAGGTTGTGCATTTGTAATGAAGCATGTGGATGAAAAACACAAAGTACCCAATCACCTTTGTGCTCATTGTAAGCCTGTTAACATCTCACATATCTCCTGAGATCCACTGCCCTTTTAACTAAGAGTAAAGCCACTTGTCTCCCCTAGGATAGCTGGGATGTCTGAAATAGCAGAATGTTTGCTTTTGGGCTAAATGCCTCTCCTGCTAGCTAGTTTAGCTATTGATTGTGCTTTAGCTTATGACTACTTTGCCCTGAGACTTCTCTCAAGGATTATAATCTATCTAACATTTATTCAGCACAGCCAATGCCTTTAGTCTTCAGGGTTTCCTTTCTGATTGACCTTATGTTCCCTTCAAGAAACTACCAGAGTATAGGCATGAGGGATATTAATGTGATCCCTAGGTTAAATATTATTTCATTCCTTTTATGCAACTGTTCTCTTACAGTCAGAGACACCAAGTCTTTAATAAATTATAATTTCTTTAAAATTATAAAAATGTGTTGGTTAGATTTAACAAAATTAACTATGCAAAAGAATGCAGAGAAAAGCTACATACCAAGACTTCCAGTATGAATATGGAAGAAAAATAGAGCAACTTCTCCCTTTTTCTGCATTTCCTACAAAAGTGACAAGGTAAACAGAAAAAAAAATAACCTCTCTATTTTCATTGAAACATGAAGGCATATATCAATCACAGACTGTGTGACTCTCATAGAAGCCATGTGAAGTGAGGTTCAGCAGAAGCCTCGAATGGGAAAGTGTTCACTAACAGAATGACAGTACAACTGCCAGGGCAATGCCAGTAAAAATACACCTCACGAAGGCATAAGGCAAAGGCAGAGTTGGAAAAAATTTATTATCTGCATCAAACAAGAGTTGCAGGATCTAGACAGAGTAGACAGAGATCAAGCAGATGCTGCATAGACAGAAAAGTTGCAACAAAGCCCCGCAGAGAACAGTCAAACAATCCAGAGATGCAAATTTTAGAAAAGGCAACAAATCATGTAATCTTTGAAGGAAATTTTTACAAATAACTGGGCCAGGAAATCTAATGCATTCCTTGGTGAACCCTATAAAAGTTGGAAACAATCAATATAAAAATACTATTGGAAAGCTTTGCTAGAATGATGCTGTCATAAAACACTAAATTCAGGAGAACTATCCTAACCTTGAAAGATCAAAATCCTGAAACTATAATGCTGGAAAAAATAATTTTAAAATTATTCTAAAAAATTCTTTACATATTTAAAGAGGAATTATTTGAGAAACATACAAAAGCACAACAATACTTCCTAGGCCAATTTACACAATAAAATACACAATGGTAACATATTTTTGCAAGCATAAACAGTAAGGTATACTAATGACAGTCACATACATGTAATAGTTACGAGCACGTGAATTGTATTCATACAGAAATACATCTAAAAGCAAAATCTATAAATGCATATCACTATGGTCAGTTAGTGTGAGCACCAAGCTTTATAACTGGAGTCATCTGAAATACCATGGCAGACAACCTGAGATTTTTGACAAGATCTATGGAAAACCACAGTAAGTTACAACTGCATATGCAGTCACCAAAAGAGCTGAGATCTTGAGAAACTTTATCTTTCACAAATGCACACGTACAAATGGGACATTTCTCCATTTATTAAGGAAGCTTCAGTGTTTTCACTTTGAGAACCAGAGAAGCTGATGGTGTAATTCTCATTTGTAGGCTGAAAGCTTCAGGACTTAGAAAGTCCAAAGGCCAGTGAGCTTTAAGTTCTAATGTCAAAGGTGACATAAGAAAGGTCAGCCAGGTGCCTATGGCTCAGGCCGGGCGTAGTGGCTCATGCCTGTAATCCCAGCACTTTGGGAGGCCAAGGCGGGTGGATCACCTGAGGTCAGGAGTTCGAGAACAGCCTGACCAACATGGAGAAACCCCGTTTCTACTAAAAAAAAAAAAAAATTGCCTGGCATAGTGGTGCATGCCCATAATACCAGCTAATACCAGCTACTAGGGAGGCTGAGGCAGAAGAATTGCTTGAACCTGGGAGGCAGAGGTTGCAGTGAGCCAAGATTGTGCCATTGCACTCCAGCCTGGGCAACAAGAGTGAAACTGAGTCTCAAAAAACAAACAAACAAACAAAACCACAAAAAAGAAAGGTCTGTCCCAGCTCTCAGAAAGAGACCAATTCACCTTTGTATTTGTTCTCTCCAGGGCCCAGCTGATTGGATGGTGCCCACCATCACTGAGGGCAGATCTTCCCCACCTGATCCACTCAGGTTCGCACACTAGTCTCCTCTGGAAACACCCACACAGACATATTCAAAATAATGCTTTACGAAGTTTCTATGTATGACTTACTCCAGTCAAGTTGACACCTAAAACTAAGTCCACAAATCTACCCCTTGTCAACTTGGCACCTGTAAGCATCCTCTTAAACCATACTTCATTTCCAAATAAAGACAATAACAAGGTAACAGTTACACTTAACATGAAACAACGATCTTGTGATTGGGATTTTTAGAACTTTTCTTTTAAATGTTAGGGATTTTGAACTGTAGATATTTAGACATAAGGAATTTTTATATTTCAGGATTTCAACATTAGGGTTAAGGCATTTGGGATTGAGTCTTTGGGGATTATGATCCAAACCCAAAGTTCAGACCAAACACTTTACCATGACTTTGAAAAGGTAACAAAATAATTATTTCAATGAAAATAATACAGAAAAAAATGAAATGCAAGAACTCAGGTGAAGCAACAGTAGTTGGTTAAAATTAATTTTTAGAACACAATATAAAAATAAAACAAGTTAAAAAAAGAACAAAGAACAAGGTAAAATGGACAATGTGGAAAACACTGTAATTAACATGGAGTGGAGTATGGAAAAGAAAAAATATGAGAATGAAAAACCAGTGAAATAAGATTAGAAAATGTTAAACAAATAAACAGTAAGCAAAAATATTAAATATTTGCATAATTGAAGTTTCCTTTAATAAGAAAAACAAAAATACTTAAAAATATTTTAAAGTGATTAGAGGGACATAAAACATTTAAGGAAAGCATTATTTTATTTTTCCATATTTTGTATTTTTGGTACTTGTTAGTCTTTACAACTTTGCAATGTGTTGTGATGTTTTTCCCTAACCAAGCAAGCATTCAATTTGTACCCAATTCTGTACTTAAAATTGTATATTATTTTTCTAAAGAAGACACTCAGTATGATCTTCAGATACCCTAACTCCTTGGCCTGCTCCTGCATTACTGTATTTCTCTCCTTAAGATACTATAAATATTAAATGCATTCTTAATCATCCTTTTGCAATCAGTCTGTATTAAAAAACTGTAGGTTACTGAGAGTCTAATTTCATAAGGTAAACATGATTTTGTTGCTGTAGTATGAAACCACAAAGGAAATAGCAGATATTAGGAGAATGATTATGATTTCCCTCATTGATTCATACAATAACAAACACTTATTGAAGTCCTGCTATGTGATACACTTTTAGTCTAGGCAATGTACAAGAAAAGATAAGCCAAACTTTCCACAGCCCTGAACCTCATGGATCTTACACTCTGGTGGGAAGTGAGCATTAAAGGAATAATTACACAGATAATTACACAGCTTCCATACTGATATGGGTTGGCTGTGTCCCCACCCAAATTCCAACTTGAATTGTATCTCCCAGGATTCTCACATGTTGTGGGAAGGACCCAAGAGGAGGTAATTGAATCATGGGGGCCAGTCTTTCCCATGCTATTCTTGTGATAGTGAATACGTCTCATGAGATCTGATAGGTTTATCAGGTGTTTCCGCTTCTGTTTCTTCCTCATTCTCTCTTACTGCCACAGTGTAAGAAGTGCCTTTAGCCCTCTGCCATGATTATGAGTCTTCCTCAGCCATGTGGAACTGTAAGTCAAATTAAACCTCTTTTTCTTCCCACTGTTGGGCATGTCTTTATCAGCAGCATGAAAACAGACTAATACAATAAATTGATACCAGTAGAGTCGGGCGTTGCTGAAAAGATACCCGAAACTGGGGAAGCAACTTTGAAACTGGGTAACAGGCAGAGGCTGGAACAGTTTGGAAGGCTCAGAAGAAGACAGGAAAATGTGGAAGAGTTTGGAACTTCCTAGAGACTTGTTGAATGGCTTTTCCCAAAATGCTGATAGGGATATGGACAATAAGGTCCAGACTGAGGTGGTCTCAGATGGAGATGAGGAACTTGTGGGGAACTGGAGCAAAGATGACTCTTGTTTTGTTTTAGCAGAGAGACTGGCAGCATTTGCCCCTGCCATAGAGATTTGCGGAACTTTGAACTTGAGAGAGATGATTTAGGGTTTCTGGCGGAAGAACTTTTTAAGCAGCAAAGCTTTCAAGAGGTGGCTTGGGAACTGTTAAAGGCATTCAATTTTTAAAAGGGAAACAGCATAAAAGTTCAGAAAATTTGCAGCCTGACTATTCAATAGAAAATAAAAACCCATTTTCTGGGGAGAAATTCTAGTCAGCTGCAGAAATTTCCATAAGTAGCAAGGAGCCTAATGTTAATCCCCAAGACCATGAGGAAAATATCTCCAGGCCATGCCAGAGACTTCATAGCAGCGCCTCCCATCACCAGCCTGGAGGCCCAGGAGGAAAACGTGGTTTCACGGGCCAGGCCCAGCGTCCCCGTGCTGTGTGCAGCCTATGGACTTGGTGCACTGTGTCCCAACCGTTCCAGCCGTGGCTGAAAGGGGCCAATGTACAGCTCAGGCTGTGGCTTCAGGGGATGTAAGCCTTAAGCCTTCGCAGTTTCCACGTGGCATTGAGCGTTCGAGTGCACAGAACTAGAAGTCAAGAATTCAGGTTTGGGAAAGTTCGCTTAGATTTCAGAAGATGTACAGAAACACCTGGCCGCCCAGGCAAAAGTTTCCTGTAGGGGCGGGGCCCTACATTCTCCATTCTCATGGAGAATCTCTGCTAGGGCAGTGCAAAAGGGAAATATGAGGTCGGAGAACCCACACAGAGTCCCTTCTGGGGCACTGCTTAGTGGAGCTCTGAGAAGAGGGCCACTGTCCTCCAGACCCTAGAATGGCAGATCCACCGACAGCTTGCCCCGTGTGCCTGGAAAAGCCACAGACAGTCAACAGCAGCCCCTGAAACCAGCCAGAAGGGAGGCTATACCCTGCAAAGCCACAGGGGCAGAGCTTCCCAAGACCATGGCAATACACCTCTTGCATCAGCGTGACCTGGTTGTGAGACCTGGAGTCAAAGGAGATCAATTTGACTGCCCCGCTGGATTTGGGACTTGCATGGGCCCTGTAAACCCTTTGTTTTGGCCAATTTCTTCTGTTTGGAATGGCTGTATTTACCCAATACCTGTACCCCATTGTTTCTAGGAAGTAACTAACTTGCTTTTGATTTTACAGTCTCATAGGCAGAAGGGACTTGCCTTGTCTCAGATGAGACTTTGTTTTGGGTTACTGCCGAAATGAGTTAAGACTTTGGGGGACTGTTGGGAAGGTATGATTGGTTTTGAAATGTGAGGACATGAGATTTGGAGGGGCCAGGGCAGAATGATATGGGTTGGCCATGTCTCCACTCAAATCTCAACTTGAATTGTATCTCCCCAGAATACTCACATGTTGTGGGAGGGACCCAGGAGGAGATAATGGAATCATGGTGGCCAGTCTTTCCCATGTTATTCTCATGCTAGTGAATAAGCCTCAGGAGATCTGATTGGTTTATCAGTGGTTTCTGCCTTTCTTTCTTCCTCATTCTCTCTTGCTGCTGCCATGTAAGAAGTGCCTTTTGCCCTCTGCCATGATTATAAGACCTCCCAATCCATGTGGAACTGTAAGTCATATAAAAACTCTTTTTCCTCCCAGTCTCCAGTATGTCTTTATCAGCAGTGTGAAAATGGACTAGTACAGGTATTTAACCAGTATACACACCAATAAAGACAATCCAGTTGATAGATTGTTACAATCCTTAAATACCAATTGGGGCTGGGCACGGTGGCTCATGCCTGTAATCCCAGCACTTTGGGAGGCTGTGGCAGGTGGATCACTTGAGGCCAGGAGTTCGAGACCAGCCTGGCCAACATGGCAAAACCACATCTCTATCAAAAATACAAAAATTAGCCATGTATAGTGAAATGTGCCTGTAATCCCAGCTATTCAGGAGTCTGAGGCCAGAGAATCACTTGAACCCGGGAGAAGGAGGTTGCAGTGAGCCAAGATTGTGCCACTGTACTCCAGCCTTGGTGACAGAACAAGTGAGACTTTGTCTCAAAACCAAACCAACAAACAAATGACAACAACAAGAACAAAACCCAGTTGGTAAAGTGGATAAATGGCTGCCATCCTCAAGAGTGCAATCTTCCCCTTCCCCACCTTTCCTGATATCCAGCAGCTAAAACAGTAACATCAGGTAGGCACAGAAGCAGGTCTCTGGTTCCCAGATCCAGTTTAATCCATTTGTATTTTGATTGGTCAATGTAAATACCACTCAGTCTCTTGTAAATCTTGCCTCCTCACTTGGTTCTGTCATTGAATCCAAAGGAGACAAAGGGATAGTGACATCTCACTCTCTGGTCTCCTGCCTTGCCCAGGCAATGGGGGCTTCAGTAGGGAGAAGGCTGGTGCCTGTCAGCTGTCCAGCTAGCCCTCTTCCACCCATACACTTACACTCAGGGCAGAGCAGGAGGCACTCAGCCATAAAGATACCGCTGTTCACTGGTGGGGGTACAGGGAACCCAATGCCTAAAGGTTGGAACTCATTTAGTCCGAAATATGTGTGGTAGACATTGCCAGCCAGCATTCTCACTACTCCCTTTGTTGGAGGGAAACTATGGCCTCCTTGGAATATTAGCTTTTAGCGAACTGGATAGAGACTGAGATAGCCGGGGCTGTGGTGTAACTGGGGCAGCTGGGGATGTGGGAAACATTGCAGGGTCCATACTCATAGAGAAAATTCCGTGGGTTTGGTTTAGAGGAGATTAGACCTGGGGATGCTGAAGAAAAGTCCTCCTTTTTACCATCTCTATTAATTTTTACCTTTTAATGCAACAATTCTGTTAAAACCCATCAAATGTCTGCCTTCTTGATCAAATGTAACAAAATACATTTGTAAATATAATGTGTAAATATAAATGTGGCTGACTGCCACACGGCTCTACTTCACACCTTTAACCAGAAGGATTAAGTTGAGACCCATTAAATGAGATGTTGCAATAAATACTTTTTGCGACTTGGTCAATAATATAGATACTGAGTATATTAAAAATACAGTATTTTCAAGACCAAAAGCACGATAGTGTAATTACCATTAATTTGACAGGAGCTATGAATATTCAGCACCAAGCATATTATTGTTGGTGTAAAGATAAATGATCTGCTTATTGATAGTGTCATCGAATGAGCATGATTTTAATGAGATTTTCATTTAAATAGTTTTATCTGGTTTCTTATGTTAAACCGTAGGATAGAAAAGGACTTTACGTAGCTCATAACATCTGATATAAATAAAAGATCACAAAAAATGCCTTCTAAAAATCAACAAAAAATTTGGGCATAGTTAGAATAATTTGATGGACAATTTATGCTATAAGTCATCATTTAATAAATGGTAGTTTACACACACTCATACAAAAATACTGAGTGTTGGTGTATTTAGAGAATGGGGAATATACTTGAATTTTTGCTTTATATGTTAATTATATATTATTTTATATTGCTGTACAAGTTGTGACATAATTTGAATATCACCCTGTAATCACACTAATAAATGTGTAATGCCAGGTTGGGATGGGATTACCATTCTACAGGGGAAGGGTCCAGTTCTATGAGCATGTAGTAAAGTAATATTTCATATATTGGGATGGTCAGGGAGAACTTTTGTCTGGTAGTGATAAGTCAACTACAATATAAGGATGATTAGAATTAAAAGCATTCTAGATTTACCCAAGATGTGTGAAAGGTGGTATGTTGGAAAGGAGCTGGTTGTGTTCAGAGAACTGAAAGAAGGCTAGTGGACTGGAGTGGAATGAATAATAGAAAGAGCACTATGTGTTGAGGGTTGAGTCATAGTTGGAGGCCAGCCCATGTAGTATGTATGCCATAGGTCAGATGAAGAATATAGTCTGCACTAATGCTGAAGCCGTTAAAGGAATTTGATGAGCTTGGTGAAGTGATTACATTTTAATTTAGAAAATACCACTCTGTAAGTGTAAAAAACAAACTGGAGGGAGACAAGTGGCATTATTGAAAGACAAGATATTAGGAACTTTCAGTGGTTCAGGCAAAAATATGATGATAGCTAATAGTAGGCTATTACTGTAGCAATGGAATGATGGACTAATACATGGAAAATTTAGGAAGATTTGTGTTAGATGTGGAGGATGAGAGAGAGGTAGATAAACAGTAGACAGAATAGAAATATCCAAATTTACGTTTAGCTTTGCTGAGTTTGAGCTTCTTATATTGTGCCACATGAAAATTCCATTCCCTTCTTTGGTGCTATAGAAAACAAATGGAACCCTCAAAATATTGTTGCCAAAATCTACTTGGATCCCATTAGAATCACATGGGGAGCTCTATTCAGAGACTCTGATTCAATTGGTCTGGAGTAAGACCTAGGCATGAGAATGTCTTAAAAGCTCCTCAGGGGTTTCTAATGTACAGCGAGGCTGAAAACTACTGATTTAGAGAGAAGTGTGGTTGGTTTGAACTATGAGGTTTAAGAGAAATGAATAGACAGCAAAGTAGAAATATTTTACAAGTGAACAAAAATACAGCAAAATCTTTGTAAAAATGATGCTTTCTCTTTGTCTCTGGCTTTGTCTAGGTTATGTTCAGTTTTTTTTGGTAAAAAAATCTTCCAGATGCAGGAGACTTAATTGAATCCACTAAGATGCATTTAGAATTATTAACTCACTAAAATATTACTTCTTATTTGATTCCTTTTTTAGGGTATAAAAGCGAAAAAATCATGTTAATTCTGATTAGTTTTGTTTTGAATATTGATCGTTGGTGGGTTGCTAGCCTTTCAGAAATAAAAGTATCAACCACATTCTAAACTATTTAATAGGTCAGATGATATGTGGTTAGAAGGGTGTCTGTGCATGAGAGATAGGGTATACAAATGAATCATTTAATAGGTAAATATTAACTGATGAAACTGCAATGTCTTTCTTTCAACCTCAGAAGCTAAGTATTTAAAAGTAACATTTATTCTCATACTGGTGGCACTTACTAATGTCCTTGTATTTTAATGCATTGTTTGATTAGATGTAATAGACTATTGGCCTTCAAATAATAAGAAAATCTTTTTTTTATTGAAATTGGTAACTAGTTATAGTTAATTTTAAATACTAAAGTTTCCTTTAACATATATAATATTTTGGAATTATAAAGCCTGTAACAATAAAACAGGTAAAAATATGGGACCTTGTTCTGGAGATGTAAAAATGTCTAAGACATATTCTGTGCTCTAAGGAATCTTAAAAACCGACTGGTTAATAAATGAAATAAAATATTGAACTTACAGAGTAGCATGTAACATTGAAAACCTGCAGATAAACAGTACAATTTTGTGCTTCCTATTTTAAGGATATGAACCAGAAAAATACAGCAAAAGGACTTCACAATTTGCAGAAACTTGCCCTCCCTCATGCCTGGGGGAGGAAGAAAAGAACCAAGTGATGATAACACTAATAGCTACTGTGTTCTAGGCATTGGAATAAGTGAGTTTTATACATGACATCGTTAATACCCATGACAATTCTTTGGAGAAAATATTATTACTAACTCTGTTTTATGGATGAGAAAAATGCTTAGGAAGTCCTGCCCAATAGAAATACAAAAAGAGTCACAAAAAGAAGCCAGATATGTAATTTTAAATTTTCTAGTAGTCACATTAAAAAAAAAAAAAAGAAAAAGGAAACAATTAAAACGTAATAAATTGTGTTATAAAATCCAATATATGTAATCCAAAAATAGAATCATTTCAACATTTATTAAACTGGGATATTTTACATTCCTTTTTCTGTACTAAAGCTTCATATATATTTGACACTTCCAGAATATCTCAATATGGACTAAGTACATTTTAAATACTCAATAGCCATATGTGGTTAGAAGCTACCACAGCTCAGACTTAGAGATTTTAAATAAGTTGTCCAAGTTTTAGCTACTGGAAAAAGGAAGAGCTGAAATTCAAACCTGGATGGTCTAACCACAGAGCATGAGCTCTTAAATGCAATCCTGTTCTGCTTAGGAAGATTTGATCTCATATTAAGAAATCTAACTTGAGATCATCTTATTCATACAGAATTTTTTGAAAATTACAGAATACATATCCTCATTTCGCAAGCAAATAAATCGTCTTAATGAGGTTAGGTAAAATCCTAAAAGATTCACAATTAGTAACTAATACAATCAGATGTTGAACCCACACCTGTCTAGTTTCAAAGCCCATATTTTAACTACACCACAAATAAATAACTAGATTCACTGAAAAGGAATTCAAAGGTAAGTAAGACCCCTCCCCACCCAATGGAAATAATAGATGGTAATTACCAAGCAGGGTGTTCTTATAACTAAGCACCCTTCTTCGCTTCTCTTATTTTTAAAAATTGTCTATGCTTTCTCATTCTCTTTAAAAATACAACAGTAAGTACTACCAACCCCACCATCACAACCACAAAAACTTCAATTAATGGGTTATGGCCTACAGAGCTCATGTTGTCTGTGGCATTTTATTGGCAAACAGCTGTAAGAAGTATGTAATAAACATCTAAGAACCATGCCTGGTATTTAGACTATAGTGGCATGTTAGGAACACAGTACCCCGTGGACACGATGCTGCAGCAATGATACAGCTTTCTAGGGAATAGCAGAGGTAGCCTCAGGCAACAAGGAGGTGGGAGGCTACTCTAATGCTTTATCATTAATGGCCTAGAAGACTTCATGTTATGGTGTCTTGGGTTTTAAATTAAATGTCAAATACAATTTGCCATTGAAAATGTGAAGTGTGGAACTGCCCTTAGAGACTCTGAGAATTCAGTCCTCTAATTGGTGGCTGCCTAGTACTGAGTAGAAATAGTTAGAGATTATTATTTGGTAAATTCTCACACCAGTCTGCAGAAATGTGTGGACTTTTACATCTTACACTTCAAGTCTGTAGTAAAACCTTGAGACAGTATTTTAAAATATGCAGTGTTCAATGTAGTTTTAAATACAGTGGAACTGATAAACTCTTCCCTTTGGGATCATGCCATCATTTATGTCCTGATCTCTCTGACATTTAATCTATAATATCAGGAAATCTGTGAAAGAAACTGAAGCAGCACACGTTCTATTTACAGTGGTTTATTTAGTTGCCCCCTTCCCTGCTGACAAGAGTCTGTTTTAATAATAGGACGAATAAAAAGATTTCCAATCCACTTCAATGTGTTAGCATTATATCTTTCTGAACTATGTGTATATTAGCGCTAATTATGAGATGTGTTTAAGTCTAAAACTGTAGGCTTAAACACAAAGGCGTTATTTTTACTGCCGGTTTTAATTAGAAACCTAAAGAAACACGTACAATTAAATATGCTCATAAAAATAATAGATACATTCCTATAATCCTCGTCAATTTGTTGCACCATTAATATCATTCCGCATGGCAGATTTAAGAATGTATTGGAGTAAGTCAAGTGGAAAATGGCAAAGAACAAAATTACTAGCATTTAAACCACTGTAACTGTTTTAGAACAGTGAGTACTGCTCTAGGTATCTGCTGCAATCACTGTTTTATTTTGCAACCACAATTTAAAGTTAACTGTTTGCCCATTTCATGTATCTCTTGTTTCTAAGAACAATTAATCTTGTACTAAAAATACACAGCTTCAGAATAAAATTGACTTCAAACATTTATTTTGCAAACATAATTTTTAAAGGAAATATTAATATGCTTAAATTTTCCTGATACCAAGAGAAAGATTTATTTTACTTGAAGAAATATACTGTTTGGCAACTCTCCTCCTCCATGTAATATGTAAACCCAGGTGGAGTAGGGTATCACAATGCCATTTTATAGGTTAAAAAATGTCTCCATGACTTTTCCAGCCACACGATACCTACAATAAGAGAACCTCAGGAGATATGCAAGCTTTATTCATAGATAACTTGAACTTCATACCAGATTTAGTCTAAATGATCATAAATTATGAAATGATAAGTTTAAAATTAAGTTTTATCACAATGTTATAGTTCATTGCAAAGTGAAATACAATTTTATATTCCTAGTTAAGATGTAAATGTTATTTTGAGATTGTTTATGACATGATTTTTACTATTAAAAATCATTTGGTAATATTAAAAGCTTAGTCTTATAAATCTTTAAACTATTAAACTGAAACAGTAGACTTTAAATAAAGATTAGGTCTTATTATTTTCTCCACATGACCCAAATTATCGTTTTATTGTTTGTGATCTATTCCCTAAATCCTCTCTAAACATTAATAATTGTTCTTTTATACTTAAATCTTAAGCTGAAAGAGAAAACTAGTCTAAGATAAAAATATTTATGGAATCCCTATATTTCTAGCATTTTTCATTTATTTCATGTAAGTATCATAAAAATTTATGAAATAATTATTACTACCAATTATCTTTCCTTTTCACATGAGGAAGCGGAGTGTCAGAATAGTTAAAAGTATCAAACACTATCACACAGCCAGGAACATGTCCAGCTGAGATTTAAAATTCATGTCTTCTCTTCCAAATCTCATGTTCTTTCTGTAATATTGCACATACTTCCCATACTATAGTCACTTTTGCAAAAGTATTAAAAAGTTTTAAAGTGTTGTAGGAAATGAGTTCAACATAAAAATCCTTGTACCATATATGTAAATCATTTTCCTCATCTCTAGCCCCACAGTTTTAATAATAATTAAGCTACTTGATTTAGTAATTTGATCCAGTATACTCATTTTTGTCATGTATTTTAAATCTTAGGTGCTTTCTTCTTTTGTGAAAGTGTTGAATTAATTACATCCAATATATGCAAAGATGGTGAATTTGCCTGTTACAGATACTTCTTTCTCCTGTGTCATCTGAGAAAATGTGAACAAGTCCCACAAGGACTCTCTTTGTTGTGCTTTGCCCCTGCATGATGTGGCCTTTTTTGAAGGATGTTATGAAAAACAATAATATAGACAAGATACCTGTAGAGTAAGAAGCTTCTATATTGGGAAAGTCTATAGAAGTAAGCACAGCACAGATAAAGGCCTAAGAACTAATGATAACTAAATATGTGTTGTGTTCAAGTTCTGAGACAAAGAAAGAACGAAAAAGTGCATACAATGTATATTTGATATTAGGATTTTGTTATTATTTTCTTTGCTTACAATTTAAAGATAAATAAATTAAATGTGATCATTTATTGAGTACCTAACAATGCACGGCATTTTGCTGGGTGTCTTCAAGACAAATGTAGACAACATATGGCATGCACTTTCAATGTGTTCACAGGTTCAGATCAGGAGACACACTCATAATTGCTATATTATTATAACATAGATGTGGCCTGGGATACAAACTAATTGCTACAAAAAGCACAATAAAGTGTTAGATTAATGCAGAGGTCAAGAAAAAATTTTTTTCAAAGGCATGAGACTTAAAATATAGAGCAGAAATAGACTACCAAGAGCTAAAGAAAGTTTAGTCATGGGAAGGAGCATGAATGAAGAGCATCTTAAGTTTGGAAAGGGGCAAATGATACTCAACTGCTAAAGCAGTCTGAGCTACGGGGCTATGTCTGTCTTTCTCACTATTATATCTGCCTATCACAGAAATTTGGTATATGATAGATGTACAGGTGCTCACTGAGGAATGAATGAAAATCTAGGGTATGTATGGGAAAAATATTAGATAAGTCTACGAAGGCAAATTATAACGAATTTAGAAGTATCTTGATAAACATCCAAAGCAGTCTGAAATGTATTCTGTAGCCCAATGACTGCCAGTAATACTACGTTAAAAAGAAATAATCAGTTTTGCTTTTATGCAAAAACACTACCCTTTAATGTGTAGCATTCAGTCAGGATCTCCCTGCCCTCTTAAATCTTTACCCTTCATCTTCTGACAGATGCTGCCCAACCCTATATGAAGAATCGTAACAACTCCACACTTGAGAAATAACTCTGCCCTACTCTGGAAGATTTAAGGACACCAGGTTAAAAATGAGCAGTACACTAGCTGACTGAATCCTCTGACATGCACAGTGGGCATGCCTGAAACTTCTTGTAGTGTAGAGCTTCCATTGAATTTTAATATATTAATATTCACTGTATTTTGTGTTATGAAGGTTTTCTATGTTCTAACACATGATCTCCTTGAAATACAGTTCATCTCTTGTTTATACTTTTCTCTTAGCAGCTAGTATGGTGGTTGGTACTTTTTATGATTAATAAATGTTTATTAAAGGGTGTCAGTTGGATGTTCCAGAAATCAGAACTCTTACACTGAATAAGAAATGCCAAGAGAGAGTTAACAACTGGAGGGCCAAAGAGGAGATGGAGCACAGTTGAATAGGAAAGGTATTGGACTGACCTGCAGCTCTGACACCTGTGAAAAGGAGGAAGATACAAGATTGCTCAGGGAAATCCTCAAATCATGTTTTGATGTGATGAATTCTGGGTCAAGGTTTCTCAGCCTCAGCACTATTGAAATTTTGGGCTCAGCCAGGTGCAGTGAATCACACCTGTAATCCCAACACTATGGGAAGCCAAGGCAAAAGAATGGCTTGAGCCCAGGAGTTTGAGGCTAGGCTGGGCGACAAAGTGAAATCTCGTCTCTATGGAAAATCAAAAAATTGGCTACGTAGGATGGCATGTGCCTGTAGTCCTAGCTACTCCGGAGACTGAGGTTGTGGGAGAGCTTGAACCTAGGAGATTGGGGCTGCAGGGCTACAGTGAGGTGTGATCATGCCATTGCACTCTGGTCTTGGTGACAGAGGGAGATCTTGTCTCAAAAAAAAAAAAAAAAAAAAAAAGAAAAGAAAAGAAAGAAATGTGGGGACAAATATTTTCAATAATTTACTTTCCAAATTTATCTCTTTGTTTTTAATTGTCATATAATAATTGTACGTATTTATGGGATATAATGTATTGTTTCAATACATTAATACATTGTGTAATGATTAATGCAGGGTAATTAACATATCTATCACCTCAAACATTTATAACTTCTTTGTAGTAAGAACATTCCAACTCCTCTCTTCTAGCAATTTATTGTTGACTATAGTCACCCTACTGTGTGATAGGACACTGTAACTTTTTCTTCATTTAAATTTGTAACTTTGTACCCAGTAACCAACCTCTTCCCATGCCTCCTCCCTTACACCCTCCCAAGTCTCTGGTAACCACTGTTCTGTTCACTACTTCTATGATTTTAACTTTTAAAAATTCCACATATGAATGAGAACATATGGTATCTGTCTTTCTATGTCTGGCTTATTTCACTTAAGATAATGTCCCCATTGAGGAAGGCTGAATATTATTAGGTTGTTCCAAAATAATTGTGGGTTTTGCCATTACTTTCAATGTCAAAACCGCATTTACTTTTGCGCCAACTTAACACAATGTTTACTAGTCTCTCTGGCCCCTACTACTAGATGCCAGTAGCATACCAGTGACAACAACAAAAAAATCTCCAAATATTGCTAAATGTTCCCTGGAGGGCAAAATCACCTCTGGTGGAAATAAGTAGCCTGGGCCACCCCTCTTTGTACATCCAGAGCCAAGATTGCCTATTAGAGGCATCTCTCATTAGGCAGAAATGGACAGGTCCTTGTACCACCACCCTGCTCAGTCAGTGGTTGGGGCTGCTGGGAAATCACATGGCCCAAGCTAAGACACAGAGGTGGATCCTGGAGTTGCAAACAACTGGAAGCTGGCAGCTCACTGCTCCCTTTGCAGCTGAACTGAAAGTTTTTCCTTGGAAGGAACTTAGAGCAAGGTATCTTCAAGGCTGCCTCATAAAGGCCATAGGTCCTCCTTTTCAGTTGAAGGCCTTGTGTTGTGCCTTGTCTGGTATGCCTTATTTGGCCACCTCTATTAAATTTATCCTTGATATATAATCTGTGCTCTGTTATATATATATTCCTGGAATAGAATTCTTTCTGTCAAAACATCTGCAACTTTAGCTATTCCCTTTCCTGGGTGATAAAAATCTCAGTTTGACTCTACAGAATCATATTTCTCTGCATTCAAACCTTGAAATATAAAGCTCTTGGACTTCAGAAATGAAGTGATTTCTGCAAATGAACAATAGCACAAGAATAGCTAAATATAGTCCACATTCATTTTATACAGCATCTTATATTTGGGTCACTGGCCAATTGACTGTGGTCACCTATTTCTTGTACTTTCTGCTTTTATTATACATTTCTGGAAAATATTAAGGTATCTGTCAAGTGGATCTTTCTGGTGGGTGGCTTTGCTGACCATCACATTTACTTGCACTTCTGATATCAAATTCAGTTAGGCCATAACTCTGCTAGACTTACTTTCTTAATCTGCTCTGACATTTCTCAGAGCATCTCAAAGATTGTGTGAGTCAATCACAATGGTCTAAAAATATCAAGGCACAATGAACCTAGATAAACAATACATAGTTATTGTTGCTTTATTAGATATAATAGAAATTAGGCCGGGTGCGGTGGCTCATGCCTGTAATCCCAGCACTTTGGGAGGCTGAGGTGGGTGGATCACCTGAGGTCAGGAGTTCAAGACCAGCCTGGCCAACATGGTGAAACCCCATCTCTACTGAAACTACAAAAATTAGCTGTGCGTGGTGGCACACGCCTGTAATTCCTGCTACTCAGGAGGCTGCTGTGGCAGGAGAATTGCTTGAACTCAGGAATCGGAGGTTGCAGTGAGCTGAGATTGCGCCATTGCACTCCAGCTTGGGTAACAGAGAGAGTCTGTCTCAAAAAAACAAAAAAAAAAAAAAAAAAAAGGAAATAAAGTAGGGGTAGTATTACCTTGAAAACTTTTCTAAATATAGGGACATTGTGTTAAACTATTCTTGTGTTGCTGTTAAGAATACCTGAAGTTGCATAATTCATAAAGAAAGGGGTTTAATTGGCTCACAGTTATGCAGGCTGTATAAGCGTGGCACTGGCATCTGCTTAGTTTCTGGGGAGGCCTCAGGAAGCCTTTACTACGGTGGAAGGTGAAGCAGGACCAAGAGGATCTTGTGAGAACTCGCTCACTATTGCAAGTATAGCACTGAGAAGACGGGGCTGAACTGTTCATGAAATATCTACCCTCAAGATCCAATCACCTCCCACTAGGCCCGACTTCCAACACTGCGAATTACAACTCAACATGAGATTTAGAGGTTACAACATCAAACTGTATTAGGCATATTCTGAGATCAGCAGCTATTAAAAGACATTTAAACTCATGTAAATTAAATGTGCTATTTATACTATGTAGAATGACTGCTTCAGATTATTTAGGTACTGTGCTGAGAACATAATGAAATTATTATCTGCTTGAAGAACTGAGTCAGGGATTGAAAAATCCAATAGCTTTCTTTTTGAGTAATTATTTTAAATGCTTGTTTCTGAAATAAACAGTATTAAGAATTTTTAAAGCCATTTAACTAACAGAAACAATGTGGAGAAATTATAGTGACTCTACTGAATTTTTTTTTTATCTGTGAGGTTTCAAAGGAGTTAATGAAATCAGGTAACTGGTTCCTAGGAGTCTGCAAAGGCTGGTGCTACCTGGACACAGAATAAAGAAGCTAAAATAGAGAGAGGCAGTTTATTAGGGACTTGGCTTTGCCCAGAATTCAGATTTCTTTACTTTCCTTACTAGTTCCTATCTACTTGATCACAATGCTTCTCAGTCATTACTGTGTGGGGGAAAAAATCAATAATAGCCATTTGGATTAAAGTTTGAGATATAAAAACATCCACTGCATATCCCTGTAGTATCTCTTTTTCCTTCATTGAGATTTCTTTGTAATTCCTTTGCCAACAACATAGAAGACCACTCTTACAGATTCTTGTCACATTGTGAGTAAAATTCCACCAGGGGATCTGCCTAATATTTTATAACTATAGTATATATTTTTACAGAATACGTTCCCAAGTTTGTTGTTTGTTTGGCTTATTTTTTATCAGACATTTGCCTTGCCTTTAGAGAATATGAATATTTCAGGTAAAAAGGTTTAATGTGGAAATGAAGTACAAAAATGTATATGACTCCTAAGGGTATTTCTATTTGCTGTTTCAAACATTGCCTTGGAATTATTTACAATTCCCAGTTTAACTATGTGCCTATAACAAGACATTGTTTAAATGCAATTTAGCCCTGTGGTTTCGACTGCCAGATGAAGATAGTGATTCAAAATGCCAATTTTTCCAAGGGGATGTGGGTTAAATTTTAAGTAAATCATTAAAAGCCCAATTTAGCCAACAATAACCAAGCATAATTACTCTTACTTAACTGCCTTCCAAAGATCCTTATTTTCATATTTAATTAAATTAAAAGAGAATTTAAATAACAGAGTAAATATGGGTTTATTTCTCTTGCTAGAGACCATGGCCCTAAAATCTTATTCATATCACGTTATACAAAGGAAATTTTTAAAACTCAAAATCTTTCAGGTTTCCTCATTGCTCCACTAACTTTTTCAGAAAACAAATTTATCCATGTGAAATATTTATTACCTCTCACTGTTGTGCAGAGTATATATTCTGCAAATTATATGTTGAAAACTATTTAAGTCAGAATTTAGTCGACTTACTTGTTCATGCAGAACCCTGAACAGGTGTTCTCATGTTCTCACTGGTTTGTTTTCCAGGAAGCAGTAACCCAAGTCCCCTTTTCCGTAAGTTGCACATTTTGGAATGTGTGAGACATTCTCTCCCTGCACGTAGCCAGGGCTTCATCTCCTAAGTCGTCCCACTCATTATTAGAAGAACTTCTCCTAAAATGGATACAAATCTGTTCTCTTAAATTCTTCAACAACTTGGACTTTGAATAGATTTTCCTATCAGTAGGAAATGAAAAAGTCAGCATGAGTACATTATTTAGACCTGCTGACCAGGAATGAGAAGGTGCAGCTCTAATTCTGATGCCGAGTTTGAATTACTGGGGGCATTAGGGAAATCCTATTACTTTGTCACGTCTCTTTGTCTTCTCTGTAATGATGGAATGTCATTTGATGCTGTGTACTGTCAATGGAAGCTTGATAAGATCTATAAATTTGGAAAGATTTCATTTTTCATAAAGGGTTATGTCCTGCAAGGTGGCCATTCTGATGGGCTAGAAAGGGTAGCCTTCCACAAAGACCATTAGCAGGCACTTTGAGGGAGGGGAGGGTGGAACAGGAATTTATACAAACAGGTTGCTTAAAAATACATATTCAAAAGGATACAGGAGGAACTATGAATCCCATTCAGAACCCCAAGCTCATCTGTCAGATATATCAACTGAAGAATCACAAGATCTATAAATTGAGAGAGGAAACTTTAGTTGTTATAAAGAGTTACAGCCTGTCAAGATGGACACCCTGCAGGCTATAACCCTTTATAATAAATAAAGTCTCCTCCTCACATTTGTAGATCTCATGACTCTTCACTTGACAGTATATTATATTGCAAAAAATATATAGGTAGTATTGGAAGTTATCAGAGAACTTTTGAAATTTAGTTATATGATTATTTATTTATGATGGTGTTTTTAATAAAATTCACACTCCTTTCACTGACCTATGGATACTTTGCGGTCTGGCCTTCTATGATCCTCAGGCTTGATCTCCTACCACTTACTCCTGGGCATTACTTTGCACTCATGATGGCCTTTTCTCTGCAGCTTGGACACGCAAAGCCCATTCTTACGTTAAGATCTTTGCACTGACTCTTAATTAAGTGACTTATTTCATTTCTGACAAAGCTAGATATTTTGAAGTAAGAAATGTTATAGGGAAGAGTGTGAGTGTGAGTCTTTCATGAAAGATACACAACACAAATTAGGTTTGTGAATGAAAATTATTTTCTTTTTTTTTTTTTTTTTGAGACAGAGTTTTGCCCTTGTTGTCCAGGCTGGAGTGCAACGGCACGATCTTGGCTCACCGCAACCTCCACTCCCTGGGTTCAAGCGATTCTCCTGCCTCAGCCTCCCAAGTAGCTGGGATTACAGTCATGCACCACCACACCCGGCTAATTTTGTATTTTTTTAGTAGAGACAGGGTTTCTCCATGTCGGTCAGGCTAGTCCCGAACTCCTGACCTCAGGTGATCCGCCTGCCTCGGCCTCCCAAGTGCTGGGATTACAGGCGTGAGCCACCGCGCCTGGTCGAAAATTATTTTCATTAGCTGAGCTATAAATGTTTGAAGTGGAGCAGTGGAAGGTATGTGGGCAGACAAATCATTTGAGATAGACTATAGGGAGCCTGCAATGCCAGACTAAAAATTTAGGTTTCTGTTTTATAGGAAATGTAGAAAGTTGCCTTATATGCTAAACTGTATGTAAAAGAGTTTTTAATAAATAATTTCAGGTGTGTATCTGTTTTATTACCAAACAGCAGGAGGTTGTAAAGATTTAAGATGGATATGAATTCATTTTCAGAATAATTTATTTTCCAGCAGTTACCCTAGAAAATTTAACATAGATATTTTACAAAAATCTAAAGTTAATTGCATTATCCTCCTTCTGAGTAATACAAGTTGAATATTTAACTTCAGCCACTTTCTCTTAATTTATATGCTACTATCTTCCATTATCTTAACTTTATATTTGTCTTACTTTTTACCCTAAAGGATATGATTATTATTGATTTATAAAGACAATCACCACATTTTTGACTCATTATTCTTTCAGATAGTTCAGTGTGTTGGTTAAAGACATGGCTTCTGGAGTTAGACTGTCTAGATATTAATATGCAGTTTACTTAGTAGTTGTGCAACTTTAGAAAATTTGCTTAACCTTTCTGTGCCCCAGCTTCGTTATCTGTAAAATGGAAATAATATATTTACCTATATGGTTCTTTTTGTAAAATGAATTCCTCTAGAAAAGCACTTAGAACAGTACCTGGCAGGTAATAACAATTATATGTGTTTTCTATTGTTATTTTTCCCTTTATGAATTTTATAGCTTACTTCTGCAGTTACTATTTTTCCTTTTGTCTGATAAATATTATTATTTTTCTCTGTAAGGATTTATTTTTGGAAAAATCAGTTTTTGATTTAATAGAAAGAGGTATTTCTCTCCTGTCCTTTACATAAATTTTCACTGGGTCTGGAATAGTACATTGCTAAAAACCTTAGACAAGTTAAATTTCACAGTTTATTTAGGCAAATAATGATTCATAAATCAGGCAGCACTCAAAATTGAAAGAGGTTCAGAGAGCTCTTCTCTATCAGTCTGAGCAGTGAGAATTTGTAGGCTGAACATAAAAGCAAAGTTGAAAAATTACCTGATTGGCTACAGCTAAGTGTTTGCCTTATTTGGACATGAGCTGACTGGAGGTCCATAATTGTATAGCCAATCGCTGGTTGAATGTTTGTGATTGGCTGAGACTTATTTTTCTTCAGTCAGTTACGGGGAAGGTTTCCAAGTTAAGTTTCAGTTTGCTTATCTAAGTGCTTGAATTAGGGAGACATCCTCCGGCTAATGGATTCCTTATTTGCTTTAGCAATAAAGTACATTATTCTCATTTGTTTGTATCTCACAGTACATTATTTTAATTTTTTGAGTCTCATTCTTGCTATCAGAAAGTCAAATGCGAGTCTGGTTTTCCTACTTTTATAGTTACTTTCTTTTTCTCTCTGGCTGCTTTTTGGTTTTAGTATTTTCCATTTTCAATATGATGTGCACAGGTATTTCTTCTTTTTGGATTTCTCTGGTCTTTAAGAATCTTAAAATTGGTAAATTTTATCAATTCTGGAAAATCTTAGCAATTATCTATCTTTTCACATGTTGCCTCATCCCATTTTCTTTCTCACTCAAAAAAATCTGATTAGACATATTAAGACCTTTTCACTATCATTGTGTTTCTTTCTTCCATAGCTTCCAGCTATTGCCTTTCTGGGCTACTTTTAGGTAATCTTTTTATTCCTATTTCCTCTTTCTCATGGTGTCAATTCCTTTTTTTTTTTTATAACACAAGTAATATGCCTGAAAAGTCAAATATCTGAAGTCTTTGCTGGTATGATTCTGACCTTTATCATTTCTATTGACTCTCACTTTTAGTGATTTCTTTTCCTGTAAGTGACATGACTCTTGACTGAATTTTTGACTATTGAGATTTTCTTTATTCCTTCTACTTCTATTTATTCCCATAGTTTAGACCTGAAAATTCTATTTTACTCTTTTATGAATGGAGTATCTCTCTAGAGAGATATCCCTTTGGGATCTTAGACATATGGATTCTCCTATTTGATTACCCAGCTGTGTGGGCCCTAGGCTTTGGTTTTGGTCCCCCACTTCCAAAGCAGCCATATACATAAATCTGAAGTACATTGAGAATTGCAAAGTCACTGAATAGTAAAGTCTTCTTTGGTTCCCAGCTTACCACTCTTATTTAGCTTTCACATCTAGTACGTTTTTCTCTTCCTAAGTAGTTCACTGAGGCATTCAAGAATATTTTATAATATTCTCTGTATTACTTTAAGAAGGACATACTCCTTCTTAGTCATGATATCCAGTTCCCAAATTGCCAGAAAGGAAATCTACTGCCACTCAGCCATGAAATGGTATTCAGCATCCCAACACAACACAAGGCCTGTCAGAATTTATGTGGAGTCGTGAGCCATAGTTGTGTCTTTACCCTGTTCTAATATCAGTCACTAGGTGGTAGGAATCACAAACTATTTCTGGCATCAGATTCTAGAGTAGTTATCTTTTTTTCTTTCTGATTCCAGTATCCATTAATTATACTTTTGAGTAGTAAGTAATCTCGAACCATACTTTTTCTACTCTTATATTTTAAATAAAATTATAAAGTTGACTTGAAGTCTCAGAAAACTAGTGTGGCTCCTTTTAAAATTTTTGCTGGACCCTATTCCACGCAGGTTTTGTTGAGGCTTAAAAAATGTTTATATTTAAAAGAGTAAGAAAAACTGATCTTCACTATGCCTCACGGTGTTTAACACACTATAGAAAATCATGTTAAAAAGAATGCCTCCAAAACATGTGAACACTGTGAGCTCAGTCTGCTCACTACATCTCTTAGCACTTTGTCCAGGACACAAAACTGTCATTTGCTTTTCTAAGATAAACAATATCATAACTCAATCTGGCTAAATTTGAAAGCCAAAATATTTTTTTGCTGCTTGGTCCTCAAAAGATATATGACAGCAAGCAATAAGGAGACACATTCTTCTTTATTCCTGCTATAACTTTGGCCACATTTTGTTATCTATTTTTTTTCCCCAGGTGCATTGAGCTAGATAACTTCAAGGATATCTTGAAAGCAATTCACCTCAAAAACTTATTTTATGTTCCTTTTCTATGAGCCCTATTCCAACCTTATTCAGCCTTTCAAGGGAACTTCCAAGCAAAATGTCACAAGCTTCAGTCTTAGCAAAGAGTCATGGTTGAGATGGAGAATAAGGTCCACGGAAAAAGAGATGTTTCTTCATTTTATTCCTTTCACCAAAATTTACATACAAGGCCCTCACATTGAGGCCTTATCACATGCAAGTGGGAGTAGAAACACTTTTACTCAACCTCTACTGTTCTAATTTCACAGAATAACTAACATCCATCATTACCTTAATAAATGAAAATAACTCAGAATATAGATGATATTAACAGGTAAGTAGGCTAATCTCTAGTTTATTCACTGCCACTTTTTCAGTCACATATTTACCAAGATTCAGTTGTGTTTGTTACAAGTCTAGTTATATAAGTTGTCCATGTTATTGTAATTACGTAAGTTAAATAAGCATTTTGGAAATCACAGATTACATGAGAGTACCAAGAGTAAGAGCATTTGGCAAAAAGTTTGTTTAAGGCTAAAGCCCTAAACTTTATAAGATAGTCACTTAAAAATGCTATAATGTACGTATGAAATAACTGCATAAAAATAATGAAAGCCTCCAAGAATCCTGCCATCAGATCACTTCATATGTTTTTAGGCCACTTTAAATAAATTTAAAGTTGTATATGATGCAACACAGGCACTATTTATACACTGCAGTTTCCTGTGATGCTGAGTTAAAAGAAATCATTTTTTCCACCAGAATCTTTATAATCATAAAAAGATGTCACTGCTATATAATAATTGGCATATATATTCTGTATATTAAGAATACAGAATTAAATATTAGATGGCAAACATTTAAGGCATATGTGAATTAAGTGTTTTTAAAGGGTTTTTTATTAACTCAGTACCAGTCCCAATTGTGTCAGAGTAAAGGTTGTCTGGTCTCTCACAGGGATTGCTTTGGAATCTTAAGACGTGATGGAGCTTAAGGGTTAACATTATTTATTAACTGGGGCAAATTAGCTTCATCAATAAGAGATGTCCTAGAGATTGTGTAGGTAAAGTGCTTAACACAATGCTTGTAATTTATCTAATAAATGGTAGTTGTTATTAGGATAGTCAAGTATCCCTTAATGACTGAGCCATATTCTGAGAAATATCTTCTTAGGTGATATAATCATTGTGTGAACACTGTAGAGTTTATTTACACAAACCTATATGGTGCAGCTTGCTACAGATCTAGCCTGTAATATAGTCTATTGCTTCTAGGCTACAGACCTGTACAGGATGTTACTGTACTGAATAATGTAGGCAATTATAACACAATAAGTATTTGTGTATCTAAACATATGAAAAGTACAGAAAATATAATTATCTTATGGGAACATCATCATATATGCAGTTCAACGTTGACTGAAATGTCATTATATAGCACATGACTGTAGTATGAAAATCTAAGAAACACTGAGTTTTTTCTTTTTTTTTTTTTTTGAGACAGAGTCTCACTCCATCACCCAGGCTGGAGTGCAGTGGCACAATCTTGGCTCACTGCAACCTCTGTCTCCCTGGTTCAAGTGATTCTCATGTCTCAGCCTCTCAAGTAACTGGTATTATAGGCAAGTGCCACCAGGCCTAGCTAATTTCTGTATTCTTAGTAGAGACAAGGTTTCACCATGTTGGCCAGGCTGGTCTCAAACTCCTGACCTCAAGTGATCTGCCTGCCTTGCCTCCCAAAGTGCTGGGATTACAGACATGAGCTACGCACCTGGTCAGTTTTTGTGTTTTTTTTTTTGTATTATATTTTGCCAAAAAATTTATTTCCTAGAGACTTCAGTTTATTCAATAATTATTATCTAAAAAATAATAATTGAATACTTTCTATGGTGGTCACTGTTCTAGATGCTGGTTCTGTAAAGATAAACAAGACAAAAATCCTTGCTTCCATGGATATGACATTCTAGTAGGAGAAAAAGATAACTAAGATGTAAATAGACTAGTTTAACCTCAGGCACTGATAATTGCTAAGAATAAAAATAAGGCAGGGCAAATGTAAGAAAAATCAGTGACAGAGCTGACAGGAGGGGGCTTGCTATTTTAAGGAGAGTAACCAAGAAAGGCTTCTAGAAAGAACAGTCTGCAATGATTTAAAACTCTAAGGTATGGAAAAAACTGATGTTGGAGAGGCCTAGGCAGAGGACACAGTATGTGCTTGGCATGCTTGAGGACTAGCAAGAAAGTCAGTGTTGTGGGAATGGAGTTAGTCTAAAAAGTTAGAAGATGAAATTAAAAAGTTAGACAGGGACCGGATTGCATACGGCCGTGGGCAAAACTGTATAGAATTGGTGAAACCAGCAGTCTGTAATAGATATTTCTTTCTCTCGCTGGTTCTCTCCCTCTCTCTCTCTCTTAATTTGCAGATGTATGCACTATTAACACCTTGCATTTTTAAAAGACTAACTTGTAACCAAGTGGAAATATACTATTATTACTTGACTTACTTCGTAGACATATATTCAGACCTATTAAGGTGTAATGCTTTAAAGTATTTGTACATGCAGTCAACCTCACAATGCACTTATTCTTTGTAATCTATGACTGAATCCGAACACTATTATCTACTTATTGCACTCTACTTGCAAATATTTGCAATAGTTCAGAGGAAAATGCCAAGAAATGGGATGTCATTTCATACATTATTCTTTGAATGTAATAGTTGACAGAAAGTACATATTCTAAGAATTGAAATAAGTTATTTTAAAAATGTGAGATTAAACAAATTCCAATTAGTAGTTTCCAAATTCCTGTTTGTGACTTTTTAATCTCACAATGCACAGCAGTTTAATGTAAACTGGTACATTAAACTGGTAGCCAAAAAGGCATTTCCAAATACACATCCTTCTCTTTGCTTTGGTAACTTTTATTCATTGATTATAACTTAACCTTGCATCTAGTAGGAACCTAATATATGTGTAATTAATTATATTGTCATTTCTTTGATGCAGGAATTTTATTAAAGTCATCGGATAACTATGTTTTCAAAAGAAACGTGTAAAAAGTTTACATATTTCAGAATCTTAAATATTATTTCATTTACTTTTTATTTTACTCAGAAGAGTTATTTTACTTAGCTTAATGTCCTTCAGTATTATGTATTTTAAAAAAACCAAGAGAGTAAATTTCAGATGTCTCATCATAAAAATATGATACGTAAGTGAGGTGATGGATATCTTAATTAGCTTGATTTAATTATACTATATTTTATATACATATCAAAGCATTATGTTGTACTACATAAATGTATACAGCTACAATTTGTCAATAGAAAAAGCACAAACTAATAATCTCAATACTAGAAAGAGACAGAAAGGGAGAAAAAGAGAGAGAGAATAAGGGAGGAGAGCAAAAATAAAATATAATGTAATTATGTATCTTAAAAAGAATGACTTTTTAAGAAATATTATGTTGTGTGTATTTAAGAAATATTATTTTGTTTATGCCCTAAGGACCAAGCACTGGTGCTTGAAAATGAATACACACACACACACACACACACACACACACATACACACACACACACTTCTTCTTTTACAAGAGATTTTAACATAAAATAAGTTATTTTAGAAATCAAATTCAGTGTACCATTTATATTTGAGAGTAGGAAAAATGTGCCTGGAGTTTATACTTAAAGATTATTTCATAACACCCCTACATGGCATCTTATGAAAAGTGCTTCACATGCATTCCTACTAAAATCTCACCTTCTATCCTCCGGTCACAGGTTGTCCCTTTACTCTGTTAATTTCTTCAGAGTATGTATCACTGTTTGACACTGACTTATTTATCCATGTGTTCCTTGTCAGTCTTTCCACACTGTTCCACTCAAAAATAAGTTCTTTATCTAAGACCAATAACTCCTTGAAATTTTACTGAAGATCCTTTGCTACTGTGTCCAGTTTCTCCTGCTATCTTCATGAGTCAATGCTCCTTTTGATGGCTCTCAACCCATGTATGTGTGTGCACATGAATGTCTGTGGGTTTTCCCTCTGACAGTCCCAGAAACAGCCCTTAAGGGTTGTAATAACATTTGTATTTGTTTATGAAGAATATTTAGAACAACAGAGGACCTTAGGACATTGTAAATAGAGCGAGAAGTACCAATTTGGGGAGTATGGGACTGAGCACAAGCTCATAAAAATGAGTTAAGCCAAAGCTATATTACCTTCTCAGAATTCACAATTTCAAAAAAGGTCAATTTAATCATGAATTGAAACTTTGCTAACTCAACTGTGCAGTTCTCATGAGTCATAATCATACTTCTGGCAACTTTAATCTCTCCAGTTATTATGTGTGATATGTGGATTTTATTATTTTCCTTTCTGGTAAAAAGCAGTGTATAAATAACCAAGATGCTTTAAATTGTCACAATTAGCTATGAGGTTGTTATTTAGTACTTTGAATTATATGTATATCTGATATTTACTCATAAAATACAGAAAATGATGAAAAAATTCTTTTGTTTAGGCTTGTTATAAATAAATTAACCATTATTGTCTTAACTTTCTTCTCCATTAATGATCCCCAAATATAAAGTTAAAATAGACTACCAAGACTTATATTTAAAATTATAAATAAAAATGGAAGTAACTTCATTTAGGTAGAGGTACTAACAATAAATTCCTTTCTTTGACATAACTATATTACATTATGATCTAGCTAGGGGAAAAAATACGTGTCTATATTTTTCAGATGTTTCCTAAAATATAGAGATAACCTAGACTTCTAATTTCATAAGGAGGGATCAGATACCAAGAAGGCAATCATTATTCAAAAATCATTGACATACTTTACAATTATTTCTCAACTGAACGGCTTTGCGCCAAGGAGAACATAGCTGACACGTGAAAATTCTGGAGGTACTTGTGGATTACAGAAACTTCCAATATATATTTGTCAAGTTCTTGCAGAAAGTTTAGTGTCAGAATTTTCTATTCTTTTCATGTTTATTGTATCATTCAGGGAAAAAAAGGAACCAAATATATTAATGTGCTATACTGGTTATTGTTATAAAAATGGCATTAGACAAAAACATTAAATATTCATGAAAATCCTTTTTCCCTTACGTTCCAGCCAGCAAAAGATACTGAAAGAAATAATTCACCAAAGGAGAGAACTATAACACAGTACAGATAATCATAGGAGTTATAAACAAAGGAAGTTGACATTAATAATTAAATGAGAAAAATTCCCTGTGGTGGTTTTGATGAGCTACAGGCACAATGTGTAAAATCACTTGGCCAACCGATCATTAGTTATGCTCTAGACCAAAGGAGTATATATTAATGTAACTGGTTTCTCTACCCTATTTTTCTAGTCCAATAATTTGTCTAAGGTAATAAATATAGCTATTACACATTCCCTGTGAGGAAAAATTATCCCCATTAGAACCTGATGTTTTTACTATCTGTATGGGAGTATTCAATGTAGATAAATGTGAAAAGGAGAGTTGATCACATTTCCTAAGTACTTGTATTGTGTATTACATGAATTCTAACAGAAACTGTATTATTGCTGTCTAGTGCATATTAATCTGACCTTTGCACTAATGGTTATTTATCATGTTATTAGGAGATTTTTGCATTGGTTTGTATTTGTTGGCTTTTCTGTTTGTTTATTTCCTCTGTTTAAGAAAATTGTTATCTATCTCAAACAGGGCACTCTTTAATGAAGAAACACCAGAGCTGTTAAACACATTGAGACACAGAAGATTCTAGTGACTGAGGATGGCTTCCTCTTGGAAACTAATGCTGTTTCTGTCAGTCACCATGTGTCTTTCAGGTAAAAGTCCTGATTAATTAATTATTTGATTTTCTAAGTATCAAAATAACCAAAATATATCAAGGTCTCCATTACAAAATATCCTCAGGTATTAATTTAAATTTATATCAGTATTTATACTTTCCAACAAGAGAAAGGCAGCAACCCTTAAGCCGCTGTTAACATTGCAAAATGCCATATACAATTTAATATAATAAGGTACACTATAAATGTTAATAAAATGAGTATTTACCTCCTTGACATTCATTTGCAATCTAAACCATCTAGCTTTCAGAAGGCTTGGAAATATATATATATATATATATATATATATATATATATATATCTCCCACACATATATACATACATATGTGCATATATTTATGCATATAATGTATATGTATATAAATAATTATGTATTTTATAGCAGCTAATTATAAAAGTGTCTCATCACAATGCTAAATTTCACCATATAAAACAGAATCAGGTTAGCTTTATTATATATAACACAGTATCTAAAGGCATCTCTAACACAATGTATTTTTTCAGATTGTCTCACCTTCTCTGACTTTGTTGTAATTAAACTTATTTTTCTATATCTTGACTCTAAAATGAGATACTTTATTCCGAAGAAAAGTTTATAGTATTGGTAGTAATAATATCATAATGCCTAAAGTTAATATGTCAGAGCTTATTTGCTTTAATTGAAGAATGATTAGAAATTAAATTGTGGTCATAATTTAAGCGCTATGCATGTAACATTTACAGCTTGATTATATTTAAATCAGTACCTATATTGTGGGCTAAATTTAGGTAGTATGTATGGTAAGAGAGTCTGAAATAAAATGTAACAGCTGATAATTTTAGATTAAAAGATTGCTTTCATTTTAAACACATTTTTAATGTGTTAATTATACTAAATATATTTTTAAAGCAGTAAAATATTCATTTTGATATATATGATCATTCAGTACTCTATGCAAATATTGATATAAATACATACATGTTCCATTTATACATATATATGAGGATAACACATGTTCAAGATATGTATTTATGATCATATATAATATAGAATACAAACTACATAAAGATATAGAACATGCATATTATTTACATATGATCACTAATATTGCCTCATCTTCTATATGGTTATATTACTATGCAACAAAAATATCTAATTGATTATACTAAATTTCTTTATTTCAAAGAACTAAACACATTCTCCTGTCAATTAAGTCTTTCCTGTATTGTGTAACATGAAGAAAACTGCAGATTGTCTAAAGAAAAAAGGACTGATAGAAGAACAAACCCAAATACAAGAAAATATAAACTCTTTTTAGAATCATTTAAGCTATATTTTTTAAATTATAATTTTACAATGGTTATTCTTTAGCCTTTATACTATTATTACTATTCGTAATGTACCAAAAGTATAACTTCAATTATGTATGATATATGAGTCTTCTTTATAACTGAAAAGGCAATCCTCAACTTATCAGATTATGCTCCAAAACATTATTTGAAATCTAAAAGAATTTCTTTATATACAGAAATAAATTTAGTATTTCAGTTATATAAGTTGTTATGTGTTGAATGTAATATCTGCAGCATACCTGCACTCATCTAAATGCTTTTACAAGATATATAAAAGCCTTTTTATTGCAATACTAGTAATTAAATAACTGAAAAAACAAAAAACCAAGTAATTATTTATATATTAGTACTATTATACGTTCAACACGTTGCTTACAGAAAAAACAGGTTTAATAAGAGACATGCAAGGAAAAAGGATACCTCTATAAAAAGTTGGTAGAGACATCTATGACATGAAAAGGTAAGGTATCTCAAAGGCATTAAGAGTTAAGTGAAAACTGTGATTCATCAATATTATGGTTACTTAAAAAAGAAATCAAGAGTCTTCAGATATTTTATTCAGTGTTGGGTTTCTTTTTTTTGTGCAGCATTACTGTCTTCCCTGCTGATCTCAGTTGTTTCTCTTTTATCTTCTCAATGTCATTTTCCTCTTGAACTTATAAGCCAACTGAAGGAGATGGAGGTAGGGTTGCAAGATGAAATAAAGGACACCCAGTTAGATTTGGATTTCAAAAGAAAGTTTTGTGTGTATGTTTTTTGTTGTTGTTTTGTTTTTAGCTCTGGTATGTTCCATGCAATATTTTATTTCATTTTATCTAGAAATTAAATTTAACAGATGTCCAGTGCTTTTATTTATTAATCTGACAATGCTAGAAAGAAAGAAGGTGGTGTTCTATAATAATACTGTAAAGTTTCATTCTCTTGTATTTGTCCAATATTGTTTCCTCAAATAAACAGTCCCTGCAAAAGAGCTATTATACAGTGGTTGTGGAAACAAACACAAAAATACTCAGCCTGATATGGGGTCCATGATCCCTAGATTTCCAGCTAATACTGGAATCAAGTTACTATTCATTTCATGAAATAAAGGAAACATTGGAAGACAGAAATAATTAGGAAGAGTTTGGGTATGAGTGGCATTTCAAATGTTATAGGCAAAGCAGAAAGAAAAGTTGAAAACAAAGGTCATGTACAATTGCTACATGGGATTTGATCTTTAATCATCATATCTGCGGTTGATGTGCAGCAAATATTCAGTTGCTTTTTTAAACAGATGAATTTCTTTTTTGCTGTAGATATCTGTTTAAAATAAAATTGATTAGGATACTTGAAAGGATCATTTATCAAGAATGATTATGTTCAAAATCTTTCATTTGCCTTCATCCTCATTTTATCATACTATTTCAGAGGTGGAGCCCCTATTCTGCTTTTGTTCCTTGGTTAATGCTTACACTCTATATTGCCCTCACTATTTTAAATATTTAGTATTTTATTATTTCATTTTCACTGGTTATTGCTTTTAGCTGTATATGAATGTCACATTATAGGGCCTATTTGGCACACTGAGTTAATTACTATTACGAAAATGAGGGCCATTAAGCTGTGGATCACGAGCACATTTTACGTTGTTGGTGCTGTTTGAACCAAAAAGACTAACTGAAGAATACCCTGATTGTATTCCATATTTCCTTTATTTATTCAGTTTTTGAAAATCTACGGATTATCTTGGGTGTGTCTAAGAAACGGAAAAGAACTCTTACCTAACTCTATGTTTGAAAACTCACTACAGGTAGTCATAAAAGCTTGGCATCTTTCACAAGAACAGGCAACCTTATATTAAAAATGAATCCACAATTAAAACAACAATGATATATTGCTACAGATATCAAAATGGCTAAAATCCAAATAAATAAAAATTAATAAAAACAATACCAATTCTGGTGAAGATACAGATTGATGGGAACTCTCATTGACAGTGAGAATTCAACATGGTATAGCCATTTTGGAAGGCAGTTTTGCAGTTTCTTACAAAGCTAAACACAATTTTGTCATATGATCAAACAGTAGGTCTTCTAGGCATTTACCTAACTGATTTGAAAACTTATATCCACACAAAAACTACCATATAAGCGTTTACCAGAGATTTAGTAATAATAACCCCAAACTGGAAACAACAAATGTCCTTCAATAAGTGATTAAACTATGGAATTCTATACAATGGAATACTATTCAGTGATAAAAAAGAATGAATTACCAATACCAAACTACACAAACATATTAATGGATTCTATATACAAATGGCTAATTGAAAAAAAGATGATAGTTTGAACAGACTACATGCTATATGATTTTCTTTATATAACAACTGGAAAGAGAAAAGCTGTGGAGACTATAAACAGATCAGTGATTGCCAGGGTCAGGGAGAAGGTTGAATGGGTAAATGAAGCAAAGGACATTTTTTAGGGCATTGAAACTACTTTGTATGATACTATAATCATGGATGCAAGATATTACACATTTATCAAAATCAACTAGAACTTTCCAGCATGGAGTAAACCATAATGTTTGCATATTTAAAAAATATATAGTAGTAGGTCAGAGGATCTGAGGACAAAAAGCAGAATATGACAAAGAATCTAACTGTATTATTATTATTATTATTATTATTATTATTATTATTATTTTGAGATGGAGTTTCACCTTGTCTCCCAGGCTGCAGTGCAGTGAAGCTATCTCAGCTCACTGCCATCTCTGCCTCCGGGTTCAAGAAATTCTCCTGCCTCAGACTCCCGAGTAGCTGGGATTACAGATGTGTGCCACCATGACCAGCTAATTTTTCTATTTTTAGTAGAGGTGGGTTTCACCATGTTGGCCAGGCTGGTCTCAAATTCCCAACCTCAGGTGATCCGCCTGCCTCGGCCTCCCAAACTGCTGGGATAACAGGCGTGAGCCACCGCGCCCAGCCTGTATTATTAATAGGAAGCAACTTCACTTAGGGGAGTTAGGGGATAAACAGACTTAAATAACTTCAGAAATGAGTCTGCAAAACTAAAGGCAAAAAATACTGTACTTAAGCACTGCACTCTAGTTAATAATATTTTTTCCCATGTCAGCACTCCTAAAATCCATAAACATGTATACTGGAACAACTAAGTCCATGGAAGGCAGATGGTGGAGGCCAGGTTTCTCACTGTTGGTGTGGGAGATTACAATAAGCAAGAGAAGAAGTTTAGAATGATCCATGTGATAATGGATTAGAATTTGAGACACACACATGTGTGTGTGTTTGGGTGGGTGTGTGTATACTTCTGCAGATATACTAATACCTATTTCATTTCTCTAACAGCTGAGAAGGATTAGAATCTATGTGTCTGAGTAGCAACCAACACACAAAGTATCAACATTTCGGTTTCTAATACCATTTATACCATTTTCTACTCAAAGCAACCAGGGCTGTTTAGAGAGAAGCCTAATTCTAGGACTGGGCCAAGAAATATATAAATCATTCTAGAGTATCCTGTAGTGCCAGAAAGTAAGCGAGTGCTAAAACAAACAAACCAAAACCAAAACAAAACCAGAAAGAATATGAGAGTCTGGTGTGTCAAAGAGATGTAGGAGCCAACTGGGATAGTTCCCAGTAACCAAAACTGGGACAATTTCAGCAAATAAGTAAGTAAGTAAGTAAGTAAATAAATAAATAAATATTGGGTTATAGTCCAAATAAATGAATATTCATAAGTCCATATTGATATAGATAAAAGATTAAATAAATAATGAATCAGGAAAATTGATCAATCTTTATGTAGATTAATTTCAAATAATTTATGTAGATACTTCATCCTCAAGGAGGTGTGAAATAAATATCTCTTTTCTTAAGTATTCGCTGTGCATACTGACTTGTTTCCAAAGAGTACAGAATGGGAAATGGGGGCCAAAAGAGAAGTGATTTCATGGTGGAGAAAACTGGTAAACATTTCCTCAGCCATGTAATAATCATGATCAATATTAGCAGAGATAAGTCATGTTGATGATATTACCCTTGGTATGATGAGAATGACAGCTCAGCTTTGTGGTTTTCCTCCCCAAAACCTATAACCCCAAAACTTTCGAAGTCATCAAAACTTAGGAAAATTAGGGAAACTTTTGCACAGAAAGAGGAGACTAAGGAGATATGATAACTAAATGTAATGAGGTATATTGGATAGGATCTCATAAGAGAAAAAGAGCATTACATAAATACTAAGGAAATGTCAGTCAAGTATGTGTGTTAGTGATAATGCTCAGGACATTTCATCCCCAGAATATAACTGCTGGAGATCAGAATATGCCACTCCAAAGTATGCCTCCTTGGCATACTAGTTATTTTGAGTTGGTTATTTTGAAAAACTGCAGACACAGGACTGGCTCTGAGAAGTTGCCCTTTTGTAAGAAAAATGTGTGTTTGCATAAGAAATACCTGTTTGTAAGAGTGTCTCTCTCTCTCTGCACCATGAAGAGGACAACTAAATTACTAGAGACTCATAATCAATAAAGCAGGCATTGACTAAAATCTGCATATCAAATCTTACCTTTGTTTAAGCTGTTTTTCTGGCCATCTTATCTTAACTGAGCCTTCCTTGCACTTTTTTTTCCTTTCTATTAAAAAGCAATGATGTTGAAACCTAAAGTTTAATTTTATTTTCTTTGAGATCTGCTCTAGACATTTACATATTTCTCTGAGTTATCAGTCATATACAGGGAATATACATGTTAATAAACTTTTTTACTCCTGTTGATCTGTCTTTCATTACAGGAAGTCTTAGTTAAGAACTATTAAGTCCACAGAAAAAAATAAATTATCTTTTCTCCTCTACATTCGTTACAAATAAAATATAAATATTAGTTTATTAACTGTGGTACATGTTTCATACTACCATGAGATGTTAATAGGAAAAACTGGTTATGAATACATGAGAATTAGACTAAGCATAGCATTCTGAATACTTGAATAAAATATGATGAGGGCCTGAAAATAAGACTACAGTGAAGATTATCAACAGGAGTGAAATATTTAAAAACATACTGGCATTAAAATATATAGGACTTAGTAATTGATTAAATATTTATTGGTAGAGGAAATGGTTTCTTACCTTGCTTATAGGTGTAGATGATCTTGCCATTTACCTGGATTCTTAATAAAATGGGAAGTGCAGATTTAAAGCTGGGAAATACTGAGCTCAACAATGTACATGTTGAGCTTTAGATGTCTACAATACCCTTAGGTGAAAAATATCTAAAATTTAGGGAAGATGACCGAGCTAAAAGTAAATCTGTGATTCATTCTTGCATGGATGACATTTTAAGATATGGGAAAGGAAATAATCACTCAACAACTATGGATGTAATAATGAGTTATAAGACAAGGAAGCATGTCTGAGTAGCATGTACTTTTTTAAGGGGAAAGAGGAAGTACAGGCTGAAAAGAATGAAAGGCAAATTATAAATTTTGGGAAACGGTGGGAAAGAAGGAAAGCAAAACATCTCCAGAAAGAGAGTGGTCAGCAGTGGCAATGCATTAGGAAGTTTAAATGTGACTGGTACTAAACTCTTTTCTTTTAATGATAGTAATAGTTACATTTAATGAAGTAGTAGAAACCCCAGCGTTACGGCAGTGAGTTGTGAATTGGTTAGTAGAAGAGGAAAATTAGACAATTATTGTCAAATCTGTTTTCTGACAATGTAAACCTAGGAAAAGGAGAAAGAATGGTAGAGAGCTTGGAAAAGACAAAAATTTGAGGAGGAGTGTGTGTCTTTCCATTTGTGGATATGTGTTTTAAGGCTGGAGAAACTGTTTATGGAAATTCAATTCACTTTATGCCCAATGTACATGAAGAATGCATATTGCCTTAGTTAGCTTTTGCAGCATAACAAATCAGCCCACAATTTATTCACTTAAAATAAAATAGCATGTATTCTTTCCTACAATTCCAAGGGTTAGAGCTCGGTGGTTCTTCTGGTCTGGGCAGCCTCAGTTTATCTCTGCAGTACCCATGACGCACTTGATGGTGTTATTTGGCCTTACTCACATTGCTTGTGATTGATGCCTTGTTAGCAAAGGCAATGGGAATGACTTGGTCATGTCTCTGATCATCCAGAAGGCTAGCTTAGGCTCTTTCATGTAGTTGTAGGCTTTTTAGGTACAGGAAGAAACAGGAAAATCCCCAGTTTACAAGCACTTTTCATGCCTCTGTTATATTTGCTAATATTTCATTGGACAAAGCAAATCCCATGAGCCAAGATCAGATTCAAGAGGTGGAAAAGTAGATTCAATCTCTTCAAGAGAGTAGCTGCAAAAGCACATTATACAGAGAGCACGTACAGCAATAAGAAAAACGTGGGCTCATTTTTTACTCTAACACATATTTATATATGTCTGTGACTGTTTCACATGCAAATAGAAGCAATTCTGTTTTTTTTAAAATTTACTTATTTATTTAGACAGGGTCTTGCTTTGTCACCCAAGCTAGAGTGCAGCGGCATCATCATAGCTCACTGAAACATTGAATCCCTGAGATCAAGTGATCTTCTCACTTCACCCTCCCAAGTAGCTAGGACTACAGGCATGTGTCACCACATCAGGGTAATTTTTTTATTTTTATTTTTTATTTTGTAGAGATAGGGTGTCACTAAGTTGGCTGGTTTTGAATTCCTGGCCTCAAGCGATCCTCCTGCCCAGGCCTCCTAAAGTGCTGGGATTACAGGCATGAGCCACCACACCTGGCCAACAATTCTGTTTATAGCAAAAGTAAAGTAGACTAAATATTTCTCTGTATCCTCATTTTCAAATACAGTAGCAGTGAAAGAACTGTGTCCTAAACTCATTAGCTGAACGTAAAAAAACAAAAACAAAAACAAAAAAGAACTTTAAAACTCTGTAAATTAATTTAGTTTTCTTAATATGAAATTAATTAACTTCAAGAAAATCTAAGCTATTATCAAAGAATATGTGAAATCATTTGAGGTAATCATAATTACTGTAGCCTATTTTTAATATATATGTGAAAAAAGCATCAACATTTTAATCTCTATTGTGCCAAAATCTGTTATTGTTCTCTTTGAGAATTCTTTTTTTGGAACACATACATCCCCCAAATGTGTGCAGAGATAGCAATTGGAAGAAGACAATACGGTCCAGGATTTATCTACTTTCAATTTATAAGCAGCTTTCCTGATGGTTTTCGGCTCTTTGTAAATTCAGTCTCCATGTTTAAACAAACTCAACAACAGAAACTAAAATTTTATGTTCCTTTACTCTGTTATGCAGAATTTCTCCAGCTAATGGGTTTTTTTAACTATCATATTCTTTTTAGACTATGGCCAGTAATTATTCTAATTTCTTTATAAGTATTTAACATTTCAATAAGTATATCACAATAATATTTAGTACAAATAGCTTCCTTTTTGTGAAATATAAATTGTTCTTTATTCATGTGTTTGGGCTTAAAGAACAATAACCCAAAATATGATGCTTTGTCATGCTGAGCACTTTCAACTTGTCTTAAAGGAAGTTGGAAGCCCCTAGAAGCCGCCTCATAACCAAGGACTTTCCACCTTTCCCTTGTTTCTCTCCTCCCAAGGGCACTTTCTGTGGAAGTGCCCTTATCTGACTGAGGAAATTTCTTCCAAAAGAAATGCAATTGTCTTAAAGCCTCCTCCTCAGAAATCTCATCAAATGATCAGGCAATATTAACTAGCAGAGAAGAGAAAAAGACTAAAAGTTGTCACCATGCCCAGATAGACTTTTCATGTATTCTTCTGAGGGTACAGTCAAGAGATTACTTGAGAGACTTTATATACATAATAAGACAACCTTTGTTTACAGTGAAGTTTCACCCCTCACTTTCTCACAATTTGTTGCCATCTGCCCCAGAGCTCAGAGGAACCTTGTCCCTTGCTATTTTCTGTTCCCCATTACCACTTGGTATTCAAAGAGAATCATTTACAAACCATTGTCTGCTCTTTGGGACCATTCAGTTCTCCTGAAAAATGATTTACTACTCCTTAAAATTGCCTACATTCTCCTATCTCTGTCTTTCCAATGAAGAAGAGTATATACGATTGTGAACCTGATTGGGTTGTTAGGTAATCATTCTCCCATGATTTCCCCCCATGCATGTTAGTAAATTTGTATGCCTTTTCTTCTGTTAATCTTTCCATTGTCAGTACATTTCAGCCAACCTTCAGAGGGCAGAAGGGAAGTCTTCCCTTCATACCTATAGGTGGAACACAAAACCATGTATGACATCCGTTTAGGTCATACAGAGTGGTATAAACAATTAATAATAATAGTGATATCATTGCTTTCAATAAGAGTAGCTTTATGAAGGCAGATAATTATCTGAAATTGTTTTGGCTTGCTAGCATGCTGAAAGAGTTTGGATGTTTGTCTTCTGCAAATCTCGTGTTGAAATGTAATCCCCCATTTTGGAGGTGAGGTCTAGTGGGAGGTCTTTGGATCATGGGAGTAGATCCTTCCTGAATAGCTTGGTGCCCTCCTCTTGGTAATGGGTGAGTTCTCACTCCGAATAACGTGAGATCTGGTTGTTTAAAAGAGTGTGGCACCTTCCCCCTCACTATTGCTTGCTCCTGCTCTCACCCTGTGATACACCAGCTCCTCTTGCTTTCTGCCATTGTTATAAGCTTCCTAAAGCCCTCACCAGAAGCCAAGAGTGTTGGTGCCAGCAGAACTGTGAGCCAATTAAGCCTCTCTTCTTTACGAATTATCTAGCTTCAGATATTTCTTTATAGACACGTAAGAACGAACTAACACACATGCACAAGGGTTAGCAGGATCACTTTCATCTCTTTTCCCAGCGTGTTTTGTCTTCCTGTAAATTTTACTTAATGTCACATTCTTTTTTACTACTGTCGTCATTTTTTTGGTTGTGTGTTTAGTTAAACTAAAAAATATAGGTAAGAAATGAGATGGAAAGACACAGAGAATAGCAGTGGCCAGCTCATTAAAGAGGATTTGCAGAAAAGGGTTATGTATATGAAGTCATTAATATGAGTCTGACTATTTCCTGACTGGTGTAATAGAGATTTTAATAGAACAGCCTAATAGGACACTGAGATCAGGGGAAATAATGCATGGGAGATATGTCATATACAAATATTATTAGTATTTATTCTTAGAATAGGCTGGAAAGCCATGATTATTAATTCATTAACATTCTATCCTTTGGTTGGAGGTTTTTGAAAAAGCATTCATTTTGTACTCCTCAGTACTAGCATATATTTTTGTCAACATCCTAAATTTACCTATATATTTCTAGCAAAAGTTGTAGACTAAATAAGAATAATACTTAATTAGGTTTATTAAAACTAGGTATATTTATATCTTTTCCTTGACTAAATTTATAAATCTTAGAATCAAAAATAATTTGAGGTTTATGTAGTCTGTATCTTTGCACTTGGGTAAGTAAAGTATTTTTTTCTTCTCAATAGGGATGAGGCTCAGAAAGATTCTGTCTGTCTATAGGTGTTACCTAGTAGGAGAATAATGGGAGGACTGTCTCCTGTAGCAGCGCTTTTCAACATACCAGACAATATGAAGGTGAGACAAGAGAGGAAATCTAATTCCTGGAGCCACAGTGACCTCCTTCCTAGACCTACATTAATACATATAGTTTTTTTCTTCTGAATCACTTTCAGATGCTTCTAATGTCAGCTGTATTGCTTTAAAAACAACAACAAAAGGCATTTTTTTTTTCTCTACTTTGACCCCATTCTCCTCCATTGAGTTAAATCCATTTTATTGGAAAGGTGACAGTTTGTTCCTTCTGCCAAGATGATGATGTACTGTTGAACAGAGAGTGTCTGTCATTGATAAGCTTATACAAATACAGTCCTTCTTGGTGGCCGTGTGGTAAATTGCACAGAACTTTGTCACTGCCAGTTAGTGCTGCCTAAGAACTTCCAAAGGAAAATGAAAATAGAAGTGTTACAGAAAACAGGTGCCTGCTAATATAAATTCTGACTTCCCTGCTGCAGTTGAGAAAGAGAAATGGATTATGGCTCCTCCATGATCAAATTAAAATTATGTATTTGCACATTGTATCTGTCCCTGGGGAAGTTATGATGATAATGGAGACTACCTCTGTGTGGAAACCCAAGTTGACTTTTATCAGCTGTGCCCTGGCGGTATTAGACGTGTAATTAATCAGAAGACAATTTAATTTCTCCTTGTCAGTGGGCGGTGGGAACTGGATTACCTGAACTTAGTGAGCTTTGTTATTTTTATATTAAAAGAAAAGAAAATGTTAAAAGGTTTCTATAATTGTCACAAATTCCTGGGGTGATATAAAATTAAACTATCAACTAAAAAGCCAGGTTCAGCATCCTAGAGAAATAAGAGCAAATTTGTGTCTCAGTGTATTGGAGATTAAAGAAAAAGTTAACTTATTAGGTCAGCTAAATATTACTTTTTACATTAGAAAATATTTATTGAAAAATATTTTTCCCCTTGAGTATTGGCTAAGGAGTATGCAATGTACATCAAAAGTGTTTTGGAATCTAGAAGATGACATGGACATCATCTCTTCTTTAAACTGGACTAACCCTTTCTGGCAAGATAACTTTCAACAATAATACATCCTTCCTGATAGAAGATTAATAATTACATTGATTTTCTTTATTATTATAAAGTAATGCTCCAATAATTCACATTATATCAAGTGTCCATGAGAACTTGTGAATGAATGTTTATATTATCATTTGTTAAGCAGAAATAAATTTGTACCACTATAATACTGCTGTAAAATATGCTTGCTTATGGTAAGAATTGTTTTACTGCTTAGCACGAGCATCTGGGGAACTGCCTCTATGCAGTCATTTGAATAATTTGTGAGCAAGAAAACAGCTTATTTTCTGTACCTCACCTGTTCAAATTCAGGTCTCTTTGGAATATAAAGTGGAAAGACAATTACATTCATTGAGCACTCAAGCAAGCAGACATAAGTGCGATGCAGAATGCAAAGGAAGATTCTTGATCTCCTTTATATTAAACAAATTTTATAGTTTTATCAGGATCCAAATATGGATTATATATAATATGTAAAACGAACCATGTATAACTAATTACAAGAATGAGTTAAATGCCATATATTTTCTGTTTATTTTAGCTCTTTGAGAAAAATCCTATTTTGCTAGCCATTAATAAAGTTAACAATTGACTTTTTGAAACTCTGTCAACTTTCATATCTGATAATATTTAACATAGACATCAACCAGAAGATTTTTCTTTTCTATTATCTGGAAAAGAACATTTTCCATTCTAATTTTCGTTATAGCTTTCACACTGAAATTTGTCAGAGCACTTAGTTAAATATCAATGAAGTCTTCAGGTTGGTGACTAGGCTTATAGTATGGCTTTAACCTCTCTGTGGCTCTAGGGTATGCTGGACCATCTGAATGGTCCAGATCATGGATAAACATGGTTTGAAGTGAAAATTTTTTATTTTTCAGCATTTGAATATTTTGCAATTATGATTTTTACATGTTTATACAAAAGTACAAGATCATCTGTTCTATAAGAATAGATAAAATATCTATCTGTTCTATTTGCTGTTTCATATACAGGACCTAGCATAATCCTTGCTATGAATGCTTGCTATGGGATAACTGTTTTTTATTTTTATTATTTATTTATTTATTTATTTATTTTTTGAGGCAGAGTCTCGCTCTGGCGCCCAGGCTGGAGGGCAGTGGCGCAATGTGGCCTCACTGCAAGCTCCGCCTCCCGGGTTCAAGCGATTCTCCCGCGTCAGCCTCCCGAGTAGCTGGGATTACAGGTGTGCACCACCATGCCTGGCTAATTTTTGTATATTTAGTAGAGACAGGGTTTCATCATGTTGGCCAGGCTGGTCTCGAACTCCTGACCTTGTGGTCCGCCTGCCTCGGCCTCCCAAACTGCTGGGATTACAGGCTTGAGCCACCATTTTTAAGAACTTCCAGGCTCCAGAATCCTTCTATTGTGTGGCTTTCTTATCTCAAAATCTTCACTGCTAACCACTAGTATGGAGGCATGATGGGATAACTATTTTTTAAATGAATGAAAAGAAATATTTACTTTAATTTTTTTCTTGGGTTTAGAGGGACACAAACTATGCTCCCTGTTGCAGTAATTTCTGGTGAAGAAACATCCGAATAGGATGAATAATTTTACATTCTCCAAATCTGATCATTCTAATATTTTTAATATAAGAAATAAGCTGAGATTTCTTTGGGCATTTGGAAATCCTACTGAATTAAAGCCATAGCAATTATCTTAGCTTAGTTCAGGGGATTGTAAAAACAACCAATAAAAAATTACTAAAGGCAAAAGAAAGAAAGTAAAGAAAAAAACAAAGAAGGTAAGATATTTGAATAGTCAATGTCTTCATCAGGCTGCTCAGCCTCATGTCATCCATTTTCACACATCACTGAGGCCTGCAAGAATTTGCTTCAAGAGGTTCTAAAGGTTACTTTAAAAAAAAAAAAAAAGAAGAAAAGAAAAAAGCTTGGGTCATATGCCTCTTTACTTGTTTCTCTATGGTAATTCAGAGATGTACTGGCTCACAGTGCCGTTGCTGGCCCAAAGCTATTTTTATTTAATACCTAAATTCAGAAAGAACTATTTCAACCTGGCCCCAGGATCCTTATTTGTTCCAGAATAGCCCTGAAGGAATTGACTGTTTTTAAAATAGGATTCTATAAAACCCAACATGCAGCATTTGTTTCATTTATGGTTCAGTCGTTCTTCTAAGAAACATCATAGCTATAGATAGAAAGTTTCAAGTAGTCGTAGCCTATATACTTTGTCAAAGATATTGTGTATTGGGGATAAAGATTACAGAGATCAAAGGCATTTAAAAATATTATTTCAGGTACCAGTTACATAATAATTTTCAAGGATCTTTTAGTATAATTCATTTGTCTGTTAATTTACCAAGTATTTATTATGTGCCTGCTAGATATTTTGCTAGGTGCTAAGGCTATAGGAGTGAACAAGACAGGCAAAATCCCTGTCTTTCTGGAACTCACATTCTTGTAGAGAAGACAGACACTTTAGCAAGAAATAACATAATATCTAATAGGAATAATTCCCATAAAGAAATTAAATGGAATAAAATGATAGTGAGTAATATTGGGGGAGATGGGGTGGCAAGGTGTTATTAAACATAGAATGATCAAGTAAGTTCACTCTGAAGAGGTCTCTAAGGAAAAACGCAATGAACATGGAAATACAAGCCACATGAATATCTGAAACAGTATTTCAGGCAGGCAGGGAAAGACAAATGTCAAAACCCTCAAAAGGAAACAGATACTGTACATAAAGAATAACTAATACAGATGAGAGAAGAATCAATACAGACAAAGAGTCTGTGACAAGAAGAGTGATAGGTGGTGAAATAATGAGATAGACAATGGCCAGAGCAGAGGAGAGGTATAAGTTAATAACACGTAAAGGCAGCCTGCTTTCTGCTTTATGGAAAACCAACTGTCCAGCTTGAGTAAGAAAGAAGGCCTGGACATGTGTAGGATGCTATTGTAGTAGTTGCGAGAGAAAAGGTAACATGAAGTATTTAGACCTGTAGGTTTTCAATGGCTATTTGTTAGCTTCATTATGAGTCAGTACTGGTATGAATCTACCAAATAAGGAGCTCACATAATCTTCAGCTGTATCAATAATGCCTAGAATAAGGGAGAGGTTAGATCTGTATTGCTGTCATGCTAACAATGACTGATTTTATGTTCAGTTCCAGACTCAGTCTTATAATGGAAACAGATAATCACAAATGTATTCAGGGGAGGGAAACCAAAGTTAGGAAACCTTGACACTTTAAACTCTGTTGTAACAGAAATGAGAATTGAAATGGAATGACTAGAATGAGAACTGAATTAAAGACTCAGCTATTATTTAGGGGAATTTTTGACCAAAACTCAGGAAGCACATCTTTCTTCTTGCAAGATCTTCACTGAATTAATTATTGCTTTTTGTAAGTCAATGAGTAAAAGATGCAGAAGGTTAAGATACAAATGACTTAGGAGGGAAGGCAAAAAAGGTTTATCATAATGAAGTATGGGTACATATCCTGGTCATACTTCCATAGAGTGATTTGGCCTGTCTCTTCTCTCATATTCAAATTAATCATAGTGAATTTCAGTTATAGATTTCTTCTTTACTTAGGACATCAAGAGTTAGCCTTTGTATATTCTCTAATAACAAGCAGCTATCATTGTAAATGACATAAAGCAAGCTATAAAGACTTTGAAGAAAGTAATATTTTTTCTTCATATAATATACATAAATATAATTTCAGTATCCTGCTCTAATCTTAATGAGATACGAAAGCCTCTCAGTTCACACAGCAATAATCATTACATGGCCCATAGCAAGAAATCTCATCTCAAAAAGACAGAATTTCCAAAAGTTAATACTACATACAACCACTATCATTAAATAGCTAAAAGTTTGTTATATGTAAGCCATTTAGACTTATTTTCAGAGATGTAAAATAGGAATGTTCAATCCTTTGGCTTCCATGGGCCACACTGGAAAAAGAAGAATTGTCTTGGGTCACACATAAAATACACCATCGCTAACGATAGCTGATGAGCAAAACAAAAACAAAAACAAAACAAAACAAAAGCTAAAAAAAATCGTATTATGTTTTAAGAAAATTTACAAATTTATGTTGGGCTGCATTTAAAGCCATCCTGTGCTAGATGCAGCCTGCTGGCCACGGTTTGGACAAGCTTGCTCTGAAAGAACAAACCGGTAGAAGCTACAGAATAGCAAAGGGTAGAATTAGTTTGCCTAAAAAGGTCCTTTTTAGTTTGCCTAAGTGTCCAGAGTTGGTCAGTGATAGAATTGGCACTATCATAAGAGTTTTTCAAGAAGGTTCATGTCAAGCCTGAACTTCCTTAACACGGAAATGATCATTATTTAGTAAATGATCATTATGTAAAGACAATTTTAGCATCAAAGGGCTTGCTCAGACTGATGATATAATGCTCCCCTCCCCTTGTCCATAGATCTATTATACTGTAAGTCAGACTTTCAGAAATAGTTAAAAGTTTTATTTTATTTTGTTAATTTTTAATAATTGAGGGTTTTTTTTAAAAAATAGATTATCAAATGAGAAAACAGTGAATGATTGTGGGTAGAAGAATTGAGAATGGAAGAATATATTGGCGGTTAGAAACATATGATGGACTTAACACATTTCAGATTACAGGAAAAAGAGAGGAGGGGTTAAAATATATTTGTGTTTGATGTTTTGAGCCAGCATGCGGGAGAACAGTGGAGCCAGCAATAGAGATAAAGGAAGACTAAAAAGAAGGGGACTATTTTTAAATTTAAAATAGCCAAATATGATGGAATATTTAATTTAAGAAATAAACAGTTGTTATTGTCAAATGGAATATAATTAATTTAGTAGAAAATTTAATACACTAGAATCAGTTTTAAAATGAAGTATGTTGCCAAGAAGCTACTCTGTTTTGGATTCCACCCAAGGAGTGTTTTTTTTTTTAAATAATAAAATGGACCTGATTACATAATACTCTTTTTATGAACTCAGATAATTCCACTCTGCCAGGCTATTCTACATGGTAGGAACGTTGTTTTAAATAGTTCCTGGCCGGGTGCAGTGGCTCACGCCTGTAATCCCAGCACTTTGGGCGGCCTAGGCGGGCGGATCACGAGGTCAGCAGATCGAGACCATCCTGGCTAACACAGTGAAACCCCGTCTCTACTAAAAATACAAAAAATTAGCCGGGCGTGGTGGCAGGCGCCTGTAGTCCCAGCTATTCGGGAGGCTGAGGCAGGAGAATGGCGTGAACCAGGAAGGCGGAGTTTGCAGTGAGCCCAGATCACGCCACTGCACTCCAGCCTGGGCGACAGACAGAGTGAGACTCCGTCTCAAAAAAAAATAAAAATAAAAAATAAAAAATAAAAATAGTTCCTAATAAGCTTCCAGGAATGAATTTTTTTCTATTGAGACGGAGTCTCGCTCTATTGCCAGGCCTGAGTGCGGTGGCGTGATCTTGGCTCACTGCAACCTCTGCCTCCTGGGTTCAAGAGATTCTCCTGCCCCTGACCATTTCCTTTTTTGTCTTCTTTTCATTGGCCATGCATGCATTTTGGAGAAACCTTTCTAGAGCATATGTAATTCTTTGAAACTTCTCTAAGTTTCCAAGACATGTTCTTCTACCACCGTCACACGTTTCAATTCTTAAAAGAAATCAAAGCTAAAATTATTATTATTTATTATACTTTAAGTTCTGGGATACATGTGCAGAACGTGCAGGTTTGTTACGTAAGTATACACATGCCATGGTGGTTTGCTGCACCCATCAACCCGTCATCTACATTAGGTATTTCTCCTAATGCTATCACTCCCTATACCCCCCACTCCCCGACAGGCCCAGGTGTGTGATGTTTCCCTCCCTGTGTCCACATGTTCTCATTGTTCAACTCTCACTTATGAGTGAGAACGTGCAGTGTTTTCTTTTCTGTTCCTGTGTTAGTTTGCTGAGAATGATGGTTTCCTGCTTCATCCATGTCCCTGCAAAGGACACAAACTCATCCTTTTTTACAGCTGCATAGTATTCCATGGTGTATATTTGTGCCACATTTTCTTTACCCAGTCAATCATTGATGGGCATTTGGGTTGATTCCATTTCCTTGCTATTGTGAATAGTGCTGCAATAAACATATGCATGCATGCATCTTTATAACAGAATGATTTATATTCCTTTGGATATTTACCCAGTAATGGATTGCTGGGTCAAATGTTATTTCTGGTTCCAGATCCTTGAGGAATTGCCACACTGTCTTCCACAATGATTGAACTAATTTACATTCCCACCAACAGTATAAAAACTTTTCCTTATTTCTCCACAGCCTCTCCAGCATCTGGTGTTTCTTGACTTTTTCATGATCACCATTCTGACTGGCATTAGATAGTATCACATTTTGGATTTGATTTGCATTCCTCTAATGACTGGTGATGTTGAGCTTTTTTTCATATCTTTGTTGGCCACATAAATGCCTTTCTTTTGAGAAGTGTCTGTTTATGTTCTTTGCCCACTTTTTGATGGGGTTGTTTGTTTTTTTTTCCTGTAAACGTGTTTTAAGTTTCTTGTAGATTCTGGATATTAGAACTTTGCCAGATGGATAGATTGCAAAAGTTTTCTCCCACTCCGTAGGTTGTCTGTTCATTCTGATGATAGTTTCTTTTGCTGTACAGAAGCTCTTTAGTCAGAAATGACTTCTTTTAAAATGAAAAATGGTACATTTTTGGGAAATAGACTGGAAATAGGAGGGCTATATACTAGTTTCAACTTTGCCATGAATTGTGGGACTTTGGAGAAGTCATTATTTCCTTCTCTGTAACAAAATGGGTTAGGCTACATTATTTGAATCTTCTTACATATTCTAATGTTGTTTTCCAATAATCTCATATCTTTTATTATAAAGTCTCAAACTTGGGAACAACAGACCTTAAGTATCTCAATTTTTGAAGAAATGGTGTTAGACGTGTCTATATAATATTTACTAAAATATGTAAAATAGAATCCCCCTTAAATATTCAGAAAATTTGATACTTAAAGAAAGTTAAGAGAAGTGAAAAAGAAGTCACCAGGCTAAATGATGCTGTTGGCAGTGGTCTGAGATTTCTTTTCCCCTCACTCAGAGAAAGGAAAAAGTGATGATTTTCTTTACCTCGGAATAGGTACCAGAGGAACTGCTTGTGGTCATTGGAGTGTCTGCAGAGAGGAAAGATATGCCTTTTACTCTACATCTAAATGTTTACTAAGTGACAGAAACTCAGATTTGTTAAGAACATGCTAAAACAATCTTGAGAAAGGCTGACGTGCTTCCTGTGGATTTTGAGGGTCGCTAACATGGCAGCGTAAGAGCATAGAAACTAGATTCTGTTTTCCAAAGTAAGTTGATAAAAGCTACTCTTGGAGCAAAATAAAATTAAAAGGTGGTAGAGTACATACTGAATCCCAGCATTTGGAAGAGCAAAGGTTCATGAACCTTCTGTGGGACAGAAGTTGATGCTTCATAAGTAGCCAGGCATGACCCTTATTGATGGATTCTAGCCAATGCCACCAGACAGGAGGAGGTGACTTCAGAAGAAAGAGGAAGGTAGTCTCCCCAGGGGTGGAGCTGGGAGAAGAGCACCAGCATAAGACATCAGTTAGAGAGTAGATTTCTGTGTCTTAGAACTAAGCAGCATGGCAGATTAGAAGGAACTTCCAAAGAACCAATAGGGGCAACCCACTAGAGAATCCGTACTTGGACAACTACCACACAGAGGGCCCCGGTGGCCACATCACAGCTGCACCATTCAGCTAAAACTTGTGGCCTGTATATTCCAGCAACATTGGAAGGATTTTTCAGGAGAAGAGAAGGGAGACAAATAAAGATCAAAACAAAAATAGAAACAAATAACCGCTTTTTCCCTACCACAGGTTCCGAAGCACCACGGCAAGCCTGATCTGTGAGGAGAAGAGAGTGGAGGAATGAGAGATTGAATTTTTTGTCTAGGCAGAGCTGGATATATTAGTATTCTCAAAATGAGTCTTAATTGCCAAAACAAGCTTTGTTTTAATACCTTAAGGTATATGGAATGCTGAAGACCCATCAAGAACCTCATCTATGGCAGAGAAAGGGAAATCTGGCAGGAGGTGTTTAAAGCAGTAATTGGAGAAATAGAAAGTGTTTTAGTCCCTATTATAAATGCATTACATATACTTGGATATTTTCTCCTTATTGACATATAACCCTTTTGGTAGCCTTTCATTGATGTTTTTCTTTCAGTAAAAATGTAATGAATACTACTCTGAGTAAGGCAATGTCCAGGACAGACACTGTAGATAAACCAGAGAAAAAGGCAACCCTTCAGTCTTAATTCATAGAGGTAACAGACTCTCTTAATCCATTTGGGCTGCTATAACAAAATACCATAAACTGGGTGGCTTATAAACAATGGAAGTTTATTTCTTATATTTCTGGAAGGTGGGAAGTCCAAAATCCAGTTGCCTGCAGATTTGGTGTTTGGGGAGGGTGTGTTTTGTCATAGATGGTGCCTTCTCAGTGTACCCTCATCACTTGTTGGAAGGAGCAGGGCAGCTCTCTGGGGCCTCTTTTATAAGGGTACTAATCCTATTCTTAAGGGTTTCACCCTCATGACCTAATCACCTCCCCAAAGTTCTCATCTCTTCATACTATCACCTTGGGGGATTAAGATTTGAGGGTATATGCATTTTGGAGGGACACAAACATTCAGACCACAGCACAAATCTTTGGACTGAGTAATCAAATTTGAACCACAATAAAGGGAAAAAATGTTGAGGGATTTCTATGGTATTATGAATTTCTTTTATTAATCAAAGTTTCGGTAGAGGTCTTTATTGGACTTTTTGTGGCACAATTGTTAAATAATTCACACCAAAAGACTTCAGGAAAAGACAGGGCTTAAGAGGGAGGTTGAAGGATTGAGGGTATTTGAATAGGTAGAGAGAAAAAAAGATTGCATTAGTGCATTAAAGCAGGGAGAAATGTCCAGCACTTTTCACATAGAGTTGTAGCTCTGCCTGCTTGTGTCCTTTGACACATTACAGAGATTCTTGCCCCCATCCCTCTCCCTTTGCCTCAAGCACTCATATTCTACAACCATATGCTCTAAATGGGCTCTTCACATTTAGGAAAATAAATTGAGAGTACATGACTAGTGATTCTACCAATGATTAATCTTAATGTTTAGAGAAAGCATGGAGTCCAGGACAAATAGATGTTTTTACTAGATTAACGTACAGAGTTATGACATTTATGTTTCTATGAAGCAATTTGCTGTAACTTATGCTAATATTGTAGTTTGCTGTAGGATGTCATGATTTTCATTTAATTAAAAATAATGTGTGACAGATGATTATTTTTCCATTGAGCCCGATCATTAAAAATTTATTTCTAGAGTAATAAAATAAAAAATACAGTGTTTAAAAGAGTTTGTGGGACTATCACAAGGTAATTACCATAGACATATATATTGAAAACAAAGTTTGGACAGTTCTTTAGTTATTGCTTCTAAAATGTTTAAAGATGATTCTGCATTTGTGCAGATCTTTATAGTGAGGAATTAATTCTCAAAGATTTTCTTTTATTATTATTATTATTATTATACTTTAAGTTTTAGGGTACATGTGCACAACGTGCAGGTTTGTTACATATGTATACATGTGCCATGTTGGTGTGCTGCACCCATTAACTCGTCGTTTAGCATTAGGTATATCTCCTAATGCTATCCCTCCCCCCTCCCCCCACCCCACAACAGTCCCTGGTGTGTGATGTTCCCCTTCCAGTGTCCATGTGTTCTCATTGTTCAATTCCCATCTATGAGTGAGAACATGCGGTGTTTGGTTTTTTCTCCGTGCGATAGTTTGCTGAGAATGATGGTTTCCAGTTTCATCCATGTCCCTACAAAGGATGTGAACTCATCCTTTTTCATGGCTGCATAGTATTCCATGGTGTATATGTGCCACATTTTCTTAATCCAGTCTATCATTGTTGGACATTTGGCTTGGTTCCAAGTCTTTGCTATTGTGACTAGTGCCACAATAAACATACGTGTGCATGTGTCTTTATGGCAGCATGATTTATAATCCTTTGGGTATATACCCAGTAATGGGATAGTTGGGTCAAATGGTATTTCTAGTTCTAGATCCCTGAGGAATCGCCACAATGACTTCCACAATGGTTGAACTAGTTTACAGTCCCACCAACAGTGTAAAAGTGTTCCTATTTCTCCACATCCTCTCCAGCACCTGTTGTTTCCTGACTTTTTAATGATCGCCATTCTAACTGGTGTCAGATGGTATCTCACTGTGGTTTTGATTTGCATTTCTCTGATGGCCAGTGATCATGAGCATTTTTTCATGTGTTTTTTGGCTGCATAAATGTCTTCTTTTGAGAAGTGTCTGTTCATGTCCTTCGCCCACTTTTTGATGGGGTTGTTTGTCTTTTTCTTGTAAATTTGTTTGAGTTCATTGTAGATTCTGGATATTAGCCCTTTGTCAGATGAGTAGGTTGCAAAAATTTTCTCCCATTCTGTAGGTTGCCTGTTCATTCTGATAGTGGTTTCTTTTGCTGTGCAGAAGCTCTTTAGTTTAATTAGATCCCATTTGTCAATTTTGGCTTTTGTCGCCATTGCTTTTGGTGTTTTAGACATGAAGTCCTTGCCCATGCCTATGTCCTGAATGGTATTGCCTAGGTTTTCTTCTAGGGTTTTTATGGTTTTAGGTCTAACCATGTAAGTCTTTAATCCATCTTGAGTTAATTTTTGTATAAGGTGTAAGGAAGGGATCCAGTTTCAGCTTTCTACATATGGCTAGCCAGTTTCCCCAGCACCATTTATTAAATAGGGAATCCTTTCCCCATTGCTTGTTTTTGTCAGGTTTGTCAAAGATCAGATAGTTGTAGATATGCGGCATTATTTCTGAGGGCTCTGTTCTGTTCCATTGGTCTATATCCTGTTTTGGTACCAGTACCATGCTGTTTTGGTTACTGTAGCCTTGTAGTATAGTTTGAAGTCAGGTAGCGTGATGCCTCCAGCTTTGTTCTTTTGGCTTAGGATTGACTTGGCGATGTGGGCTCTTTTTTGGTTCCATATGAACTTTAAAGTAGTTTTTTCCAATTCTGTGAAGAAAGTCATTGGTAGCTTGATGGGGATGGCATTGAATGTATAAATTACCTTGGGCAGAATGGCCATTTTCATGATATTGATTCTTCCTACCCATGAGCATGGAATGTTCTTCCATTGGTTTGTATCCTCTTTTATTTCATTGAGCAGTGGTTTGTAGTCCTCCTTGAAGAGGTCCTTCACATCCCTTGTAAGTTGGATTCCTAGGTATTTTATTCTCTTTGAAGCAATTGTGAATGGGAGTTCACTCATGATTTGGCTCTCTGTTTGTCTGTTATTGGTGTATAAGAATGCTTGTGATTTTTGCACATTGATTTTGTATCCTGAGACTTTGCTGAAGTTGCTTATGAGCTTAAGGAGATTTTGGGCTGAGACGATGGGGTTTTCTAGATATACAATGATGTCATCTGCAAACAGGGACAATTTGACTTCCTTTTTTCCTAATTGAATGCCCTTTATTCCCTTCTCCTGCCTGACTGCCCTGGCCAGAACTTCCAACACTATGTTGAATAGGAGTGGTGAGAGAGGGCATCCCTGTCTTGTGCCAGTTTTCAAAGAGAATGCTTCCAGTTTTTGCCCATTCAGTATGATATTGGCTGTGGGTTTGTCATAGATAGCTCTTACTATTTTGAGATACGTCCCATCAATATCTAATTTATTGAGAGTTTTTAGCATGAAGGTTGTTGAATTTTGTCAAAGGCCTTTTCTGTATCTATTGAGATAATCATGTGGTTTTTGTCTTTGGTTCTGTTTAGACGCTGGATTACATTTATTGATTTGGGTATGTTGAACCAGCCTTGCATCCCAGGGATGAAGCCCACTTGATCATGGTGGATAAGCTTTTTGATGTGTTGCTGGATTCAGTTTGCCAGTATTTTAGTGAGGATTTTTGCATCAATGTTCATCAAAGATATTGGTCTAAAATTCTCTTTTTTTGTTGTGTCTCTGCTCGGCTTTGGTATCAGGATGATGCTGGCCTCATAAAATGAGTTAGGGAGGATTCCCTCTTTTTCTATTAACTGGAATAGTTTCAGAAGGAATGGTACCAGCTCTTCCTTGTACCTCTGGTAGAATTTGACTGTGAATCCATCTGGTCCTGGACTTTTTTTGGTTGGTAATCTATTAATTATTGCCTCAATTTCAGAGCCTGCTATTGGTCTATTCAGATATTCAACTTCTTCCTGGTTTAGTCTTGGGAGGGTGTATGTGCCGAGGAATTTATCCATTTCTTCTAGATTTTCTAGTTTATTTGCGTAGACGTGTTTATAGTATTCTCTGATGGTAGTTTGTAGTTCTGTGGGGTCGGTGGTGATATCCCCTTTGTCATTTTTTATTGCATCTATTTGATTCTTCTCTCTTTTCTTCTTTATTAGTCTTGCTAACGGTCTATCAATTTTGTTGATCTTTTCAAAAAACCAGCTCCTGGATTCATTGATTTTTTCAAGGGTTTTTTTGTGTCTTTATTTCCTTCAGTTCTGCTCTGATCTTAGTTATTTCTTGCCTTCTGCTAGCTTTTGAATGTGTTTGCTCTTGCTTCTCTAGTTCTTTTAATTGTGATGTTAGGGTGTCAATTTTAGATCTTTCCTGCTTTCTCTTGTGGGCATTTAGTGCTATAAATTTCCCTCTACACACTGCTTTGAATATGTCCCAGAGATTCTGGTATGTTGTGTCTTTGTTCTCGTTGGTTTCAAAGAACATCTTTATTTCTGCCTTCATTTCATTATGTACCCAGTAGTCATTCAGGAGCAGGTTGTTCAGTTTCCATGTAGTTGAGCAGTTTTGAGTGAGTTTCTTAATCCTGAGTTCTACTTTGATTGCACTGTGGTCTGAGAGACAGTTTGTTATAATTTCTGTTCTTTTACATTTGCTGAGGAGAGCTTTACTTCCAACTATGTGGTCAATTTTGGAGTAGGTGTGGTGTGGTGCTGAAAAGAATGTATATTCTGTTGATTTGGGGTGGAGAGTTCTGTAGATGTCTATTAGGTCCGCTTGGTGCAGAGCTGAGTTCAATTCCTGGGTATCCTTGTTAACTTTCTGTCTCGTTGATCTGTCTAATGTTGACAGTGGGGTGTTAAAGTCTCCCATTATTATTGTGTGGGAGTCTAAGTCTCTTTGTAGGTCACTAAGGACTTGCTTTATGAATCTGGGTGCTCCTGTATTGGGTGCATATATATTTAGGATAGTTAGCTCTTCTTGTTGAATTGATCCCTTTACCGTTATGTAATGGCCTTCTTTGTCTCTTTTGATCTTTGTTGGTTTAAAGTCCGTTTTATCCGAGACTAGGATTGCAACCCCTGCCTTTTTTTGTTTTCCATTTGCTTGGTAGATCGTCCTCTATCCCTTTATTTTGAGACTATGTGTGTCTCAGCACATGAGATGGGTTTCCTGAATACAGCACACTGTATTTTCTTTATCCAATTTTCCAGTCTGTGCCTTTTAATTGGAGCATTTAGCCCATTTACATTTAAGGTTATTATTGTTATATGTGAATTTGATCCTGTCATTATGATGTTAGCTGGTTATTTTGCTCGTTAGTTGATGCAGTTGCTTCCTAGCCTTGATGGTCTTTACAATTTGGCATGTTTTTGCAGTGGCTGGTACCAGTTGTTCCTTTCCATGTTTAGTACTTCCTTCAGGAGCTCTTTTAGGGCAGGCCTGGTGGTGACAAAATCTCTCAACATTTGCTTGTCTGTAAAGTATTTTATTTCTCCTTCACTTATGAAGCTTAATTTGGCTGGATATGAAATTCTGGGTTGAAAATTCTTTTCTTTAAGAATGTTGAATATTGGCCCCCACTCTCTTCTTGCTTGTAGAGTTTCTGCCGAGAGATCAGCTGTTAGTCTGATGGGCTTCCATTTGTGGGTAACCCGACCTTTCTCTCTGGCTGCCCTTAACATTTTTTCCTTCATTTCAACTTTGATGAATCTGACAATTATGTGTCTTGGAGTTGCTCTTCTCGAGGAGTATCTTTGTGCCATTCTCTTTATTTCCTGAATTTGAATGTTGGCCTGCCTTGCTAGGTTGGAGAAGTTCTCCTGGATAATATCCTGCAGAGTGTTTTCCAACTTGGCTCCATTCTCCCCGTCACTTTCAGGTACACCAATTAGACATAGATTTTGTCTTTTCACATAGTGCCATATTTCTTGGAGGCTTTGTTCATTTCTTTTTATTCTTTTTTCTCTCAACTTCTCTTCATGCTTCATTTCATTCATTTCGTCTTCCATCGCTGATACCCTTTCTTCCAGTTGATCTCATCGGTTACTGAGGCTTGTGCATTCACACATAGTTCTCATGCCATGCTTTTCAGCTCCATCAGGTCCTTTAAGAACTTCTCTGCATTGGTTATTCTAGTTAGCCATTTGTCTAATTTTTTTCAAAGTTTTTAACTTCTTTGCCATTGGTTCAGACTTCCTCCTTTAGCTCAGAGTAGTTTGATCTTCTGAAGCCTTCCTCTCTCAACTCGTCAAAGTCATTCCCTGTCCAGCTTTGTTCCATTGCTGGTGAGGAGCTGTGTTCCTTTGGAGGAGGAGAGGCACTCTGATTTTTAGAGTTTCTGGTTTTTCTGCTTTGTTTTTTCCCCATCTTTGTGGTTTTATCTACCTTTGGTTTTTGATGATGGTGACGTACAGATGGGTTTTTGGTGTGGATGTCCTCTCTGTTTGTTAGTTTTCCTTCTAACAGTCAGGACTCTCAGCTTCAGGTCTGTTGGAGTTTACTGGAGGTCCACTCTAGACCCTGTTTGCCTGGGTATCAGCAGCGCTGGCTGCAGAACAGCAGATATTGGTGAACCGTAAATGCTGCTGCCTGATCGTTCCTCTGGAAGTTTTGTCTCAGAGGAGTACCCGGCCGTGTGAGGTGTTAGTCTGCCCCTAATTGGGGGTGCCTCCCAGTTAGGCTACTTGGGGGTCAGGGACCCACTTGAGGAGGCTGTCTGCCCATTCTCAGATCTCAAGCTGTGTGCTGGGAGTACCACTACTCTCTTCAAAGCTGTCAGACAGGGACATTTAAGTCTGCAGAGGTTACTGCTGTCTTTTTGTTTGTCTGTGCCCTACCCCCAGAGGTGGAGCCTACAAAGGCAGGCAGGCCTCCTTGAGCTGTGGTGGGCTCCACCCAGTTTGAGCTTCCCATCCGCTTTGTTTACCTACTCAAGCCTGAGCAATGGTGGGTGCCCCTCCCCCAGCCTCGCTGCCTCCTTGCAGTTAGATCTCAGACTGCTGTGCTAGCAATGAGCGAGGCTCCGTGGGTGTAGGACTCTCTGAGCCATGCGCGGGATATAATCTCCTGGTGTGCCGTTTGTTAAGCCCGTTGGAAAAGTGCAGTATTAGGGTGGGAGTGACCTGATTTTCCAGGTGCCGTCTGTCACCCCTTTCTTTGACTAGGAAAGGGAATTCCTTGACCCCTTGTGCTTCCCGGGTGAGGGGATGCCTCACCCTGCTTTGGCTCATGCATGGTGTGCTGCACCCACAGTCCTGCACCTACTGTCTTGCACTCCCCAGTGAGATGAACTCGGTACCTCAGTTGGAAATGCAGAAATCACCCATCTTCTGCATGGCTCAAGCTGGGAGCTGTAGACTGGAGCTGTTTGTATTCGGCCATCTTGGCTCCACCCTCTCAAAGATTTTCATTGTGTTTATTTATTATTGACTGTAAGTAACAGCCATCATTATAAAATTAATCTCATGAAATAGATCAGATAATTTTTTACTGGGATCAAAGGGATTAAGGAGGATGTGATTTCTCTACCAAATGTTCTTTATGCTGGGTTCTTCAAACTAATTTTTCAATTTGAAAGTATTAACTTTAAAATTGAATATTTAAATTGTTCAACGTTGTTCCCTTTTGGGGGACAAAGTATATAGTACATTACCGGGACATAACACTCAGAGTATTAAAATTAGCTCTGTATTCTCCTACTTGAAAAATAATTGCATGGCTTTTCTCCTAGCTCACCATACTTATTCACACTGGCCCTGATTACTGTTATATCCTTAGTGCAGAGCTTCTCATGCTGTTGGCCACAGACAGAAGGACCTTGGAGATGCTCCAGAGTGTCCATGGTGTTAAAACTATTTTCCTTATAATACAATAATGTTATTGGCCTGCTTTATTCTCTTGACATTGTTACTAATGGAGCAAAAGCAATGGTGAGAAAATTCGGGAGCCATGGCTTACACATGGCACTAGCAACTGTATTAAATAAAATATTAAATCTTGTCTCACTCAATAATATCTCCCATGAAACAACAAAAATATTAATATTATTAAATAAAACCCTTAAATACACATATGTTAGTAATTTGTGTGACAAACAGGAGGCATACACAAAGCACTTCTGCTTCACGCATGCAGAAGTACAGTGGCTGCCTCAGGGAAAAGCATTCTGCTTTCATTTGAGATTGTGTAGTTGTTTGAACTGTGAAACAAACTAGCAGCAGCTGCTTTTTCATGAAACACTGTTTTTACTTGAAAGAAAGAACAACAGACAAACTGTTATTCAGGCTTGCATACTTGGTGGATATTTTCTTAAAAGTGAACTGAGTAGGCCTGTTGCTGCAAGGGAAACAACTAACAAGATCTGTTGCCAATGGCAACATTCAAGCTTTTGTGTAAAAACTAAAATTTTTGAAGACTTGTATCCAACTTCATGAGCTAGACCATTTCCCAATTCTTAGAGACTTACCTGATTGTTAAGGATTTGTGCAATTCAGTGGACACATATTTTCCAAATGACCAAACACACAGTGTTACAAAATCACACATGGATAAAAGATCTAATCTATAAGACAGATGAAAGGATTTTAATTTTACAGTATGAAAAGTTCACTCAGGTGATTTCAGATTACTCATTACAACTAGCCTTTAAGAAACTTGAGTTTTGGTATAGTATCAAAGAAGAATATTCATAATTATCTGAAAAGGTTATTACAATTCTTCTCTCTTTTTTGACTACATATGTGTGAGAGCAGGGTTTTCTTTAGCTGCTTCAAAAAGAACAAAACTACAACTGGTTGAATGAAAAAAGGTAGGAGGATCTAGCTGTTTTCTATTAAGCTAAATTCAGTTTTACAAAACTTATAACAATGCCACTCTTCTTACAGGCTTTACATTTTGTCTTGAAAAATATGGTTATTTAAAAAAATATATATATTTAGGTTAACTTATAGTGGGATTTTCATAGTTATTTTAAGATCATTTAATACATAATTTTATTTTTTCAGTATTGATTTCTAATATAGTAAAAATACAGATAGATATAACTCACCTAAACAAAGTTCTTTCAAGACTTCCATTATTTTCCAACTGTAAATGGGCCCTAATATCAAAAGGTTTGAGAACAACTACTTTAGCACAAAGTTAAATGGGATCGTAGACACTGGAATGAAGATGTGAGGAGTAAAGGCTGGAGAGTTAGTCATGTTTGAGAGCATGGAGATAATATCTGAAACATTTTGTAATTCATAAAGAATTTGGACGATTGCAAACCACTGATATATCCAAGGAAATTACTGAATTTAAAATTTCCGTGGTGAAGCAGGTGAATGGCAATGACAAAGTCAGGATTTTCTTGTAAAATAAATTGTTCTTTCTTTCCTTCCTTCCTATTTTTCTTCCTCTGAATTCAGTCAGCTACCGTGTTAGTTTATTTCTTCTATTATAATATATCATATCATTTATTCCTTTCTTGATATATATCTCATATCATGTATTTCATTCATTTAATTAAATCCCGTTCCAAATGGCCTCATGTCTAGTCTGCTAATTTCTTTCTGGTTTCTGTGCAATCAGTTTTTATTTTTTTCTCTTTCAACCCATCCTGAAATCTGCTGACTGATTAACCCACTTCAATCCAGTCTTAGCTCTATTACCATCATCCCACAAGCTCAATCAAATATAATGAAAACATTTGTGCTAACCATTGGTGAGATGATAAATCTCAAACTTCTCAGCATAATAACTGACATAACTCAGCATAATAACGGACATAACTCAGCATAATGGCTAAAGGACCCTCTCTGAGCATGTTTTACCCTTTCTCTAAATAAAAAATGCTCTAATTAAAGTAGTTTATTCGTTTTCTTTTTAATGTGCCAAATCTGTTTTAACCATGGTACCTTTCTGCATATCATGTTCTCTAGCCTGAAATGCCCGCAGTCTTTGCCTTATCATCTTATACAGATAAAATGAGATAATACTTTTCAATAAATTAGTACAATACCTGAAACATAATAAGCAGTAAATTAAAGCCAGTTATTTTTCTTATTAATATTACGACTATACTGTAAACTTCTGGAGGGAAGATACTATACCCTATATCATAGTTGATTCTCCATTGTATAGTAGATGTCTCTCTATGTAATATATGTTCACAAAATATATGTGGCTTATAGTGATGATTATCCATATTTTGACTGACTTTATTTAAAGTTTTAAGGAAGGGCCACTCATCTAATAAATCTGTCCAACAAGACATAATATTTTAACATAGTCACCAAAATAAAGTAAAAAACTCTAACTCAGGGCACCATAAAGTGCTAGATATGTAAGCTTATCCAGGAACGTTAATGCACCTAGGCAGAGAATCATCAACAATAGTCTAGTAATTGGCAAGAGTATCATTAATCAACTTTTTTCCAGGCAAGTAAAGTTAAATCAGAATTCAGTTAACAATTCGTAATGTGTGTGCGAGTGAGGATCAGTTAACCATTTATGAAGTTTATGCCATATGTTGAAAACCAGGTCATATTGCAATGAAGTCATGTTGGCTACTAAGAAAGAGCAACTCAGAAATGAAGAGGTTTTGCAGTATGGGTAATCCGCTGGATATCCTGTCTCTGACAACAGAGAGAGAAGCGGCTATAGAAGCTGCCTACTCTATACTGCACAGGATCTCCTCATAGAATAGAACATGGAAACAAAGCTCTATTTGCTACCATTATATAGAGAATGAGCTTTCTTTGGAAGAAAGTATACATGTGGAGGATCTAAACAAAACAATGCACAAGGTAAACTGACTTAAAGACACAGTGTCTCCCATAAAGGAGCGACAAATTCAATAGCAGGTATCTGCTATGGGAGCTAGTTCCCTGAAAAGAAGAGCAACCAGATTCAATTACAGGATACCTGAGAGAAAAACCTACAGTTTGATGCTGTTTGCTACTAACGAGGATCCATTTTCTTCTGGTAATCTGCCCAGGGAATCATATGTGTGGCTGCATTAGATGGTACGTTTCTTCTTTCCAAACACCACTCAGAATTTGAAAGATGTGTGTGGGAGTGAGGATATGTTATGAAGATGGGGGTCATTTGCAAGTAGTATAAAGATTTGATAAAGGAAAATTGCTGAGAATTTTTTTAAAAGTAATGATCAGCTTAAAAACTAGTAGCAGAGTTCTCTCTTAAACAAAATAAATGCCATTTGCTAGCAAAACACTTTGAAGGATTATCTAGGTTTTCAAAAGAGTGCTTTAATAGTTGGGTCAAAATGGGTTCATGCTGAGTGACATTAGGAGCAGAATGGTTCTGCTTAATAAAGTGGAAACATTTTTATTTTCTTGGAGCTGATCTAGAGAAGGAAGAAGCAAAGAGGAACAGCATAACAAGAGAACAAGAACCTTAGGAAAATATGTGGCCAGTGAGAAAGTCCTAAGACTGCTATACCTTCTCCACTGTGAGCCCAAAATCCATAGTTTAAGACCACCGGCCGGGCGCAGTGGCTCACGCCTGTAATCCCGGCACTTTGGGAGGCCGAGGCGGGCGGATCACGATGTCAGGAGATGGATACCATCCTGGCTAACACGGTGAAACCCCGTCTCTACTAAAACACACAAAAAATTAGCTGGGCCTATTGGCGGACGCCTATAGTCCCAGCTACTCAGGAGGCTGAGGCAGGAGAATGGCGTGAACCCAGGAGGCAGAGCTTGCCGTGAGCCAAGATAGCGCCACTGCACTCCAGCCTGGGCGACAGAGCAAGACTCCTTCTCAAAAAAAAAAAAAAAAAAAAAAAAGACCACCATATACAATCACTTTATGTAAATGGCATTTTGTAGAAGTCAAGGCAAAGGTACAATGTTCCATGTTTGTGTCATTTTCAGATTAAGAAGAGGAAAAGAAATTGTTCATGGGTAAAATTAGGAATTCTGGGAAACTGGGACTTTGGGACAAGGTATAATAATGAAACATTAAACCCCTAGTGAGCTCTTAGGGGGCACGTGGTGGAGGTAGGAGAATTTCAACATTCCACCCTCTGTGGGGTGAGTCTTCAATCCATTTTATTTAATACGTTAAAGTAAAAGGAAAATTCCTAAAACCAGAGGACTTATGGATACCTAGCAGTTGACATCTGGGCTAACATCTGACCTGTATTTACCTTCAGAAATCAGGGAAATCCAGGATGGTGGCAACCGTGTCAATATGACACAGTGAAGCAGGTCTCACCACAGACCAACCTGGTTGCAATATTCCTGCCTGCGTTGGGAGCTAAGTAACTGGAACAAGTTTTTGTAACGTGATTAGAGTTTCTTAGAATGAGTAATTGTCACAGTTGCTGTTGTGGAAAAGTAATTAATTATATGAAGTAATTAGTTTTCCCTCAAGCATACTTAGGCTTGATATTTTTGTGTATAGAAATGAAAATAACAAAAGCAATAATATATGTATCTTGATAGGTAGTGTGCTGGATTGTAGATAGAAAATGGCGTTGATGGAACGTGAAACATGAACATGTTGTGAAACTATAGAAGTGCAGCAAATTGGTACACAAACACTGTCATAATACAAGGGGATGACTTTGAAGGGGCAGCTTTAAAATCAATATCTTCTTTAGTAGTGGTAAATGCTTTATAAATGCTGTCTGCCTGAATAACAAGATGGGAATAAGCCAGACAAATGTAGTCATGATTTTACAATTTCAGAGGAAATCACCATCAATAACATGCAAAATGCAATAATTTGGAAGTGTTGTAAATGTGCATATTTAAGTTCTTTAATTAATTTCAACATATAATTCAATAAGTTCTACCCTGATTATTCAGTATTCATGTATTCAACATTCTAAACCACTAAAAGCAGAAAAATACTGCTTCCAAAGAAGGATCTGAAGTAAAGCACATGTATATTTAGAATATGAAAACAGTAATTTTGCCTTGAAGAAATATACTAATAGAAAATGAATCAAAGGTGATCTTGGGAATATGTTTTCTATAGTGAATACACATGTTAGTTCAAGTCACAAATTCCTTCCTATAAATATTTAGAAAGTATATTGATGTTCATAAATCATTATGCTTTAAATATATTTGAAGAAAAGATATATGAGTAGAAAGAAAATTCAAACATACACATTTACATGTTAATATCAACTTAAAAGTTAATGGCTATTATCAGTCAAGTGTACATGAATATAAAACAAATACTATGTCTCTAACATTGGAATAGAAGGAATGGCACATGTTTACAGAAGTATAAAATGAGCTTCCTATCCTCATAATATTTTTCTAATATTCTTGAGTATAGGGGAAAGTTAATGAGCAGAAAAATTAAGGTGAGTAATACAAGATGTGTCATATTGTATGCAGTGCATCCACACACTATCTAAACAATGAAGGAAGAGAGTTTTACAGAAGAATGATTTACGGAGAGATTCACTGGGCTAGTGAGGGTATAGCCAGTCCTTGAGAGATGAACTTCAGGTATAGAGGAGGAAGGATCATCCAGAGGAAGATAAACATCATGAGCAGAGATGAACAGGCCTCTATGTAAGCGGAAGAGAAATTCAGTGAATGCAGTGGGAGGGGAAAGTGGAAAAAAAAGAGGACAGCAATGATTATACAAGTCAAATAAAGCATAAAAGCATCAGTTACACAGAGTACAATTTCAAAAACTACCATTGATAATAATAAAAATAGATAAGAAGAGACTGCTGGATACAGAAAGGCAAAAGCATGAGTGATGTCAGAGATTAATGCAAAAGAGATCCAAACTCAGAAACCCTGGGTTCAAACCCTGGCATTGTTGTTTATTAGCTGTATGACTTTGTGCAATCACTAAGCCACTCTGAAATTCCTCCACTCCTCAAATGGCAATGATATTAATTAATTGACAAGTGGCAAAGTTAAGATAGGACAATATTTCCAAGTAGATAACACAGTACTTGATATAATAGAAATATCTGTTATACAAAGGTCATTGAATGTAAATCTGGAAAAAATATTTAGATCTCTGTACAAATTATGTGTTGTAGATATGTGTCAGTAAAGCCACTATGCAGAGTCATGGCAAGAACATTCCAGACAAAGGGAATAGCAAATGCAAAGGCTATGGCAGGAAAGAGTTTAGAGTAAGAAATGAAAAGGAGGCAAACACAGAAAGACTATAGTAAGCAAAGGGAACAATGGTTTGAGATGATTAAAGAAGAAGGCTAATGCCAATCATCTTGACCATGCTAGGGTTTATTCTGAAAAGTGCCACAACACCAGGGATGCTAGCATTAAGAAAAAGTTGTTCAGAATATATTTTTTCCAAATATGTATAGAAATAAATATTTACTATATTTCAAATAAAGATATGGTAAACATGAAATATCAAACAAAGCATAAACTAATATAACTATACATGCAAATAATAAATTACAATTATAATGTAAATTGTGAACCACTGATGACTCTGCTTTTTTTAACTTCAGCCCACTGTGTGTGAGGATCACTGAGCTGCTGCTGCCTTTGATGTAACATCTCCACGTTGGCCCAGGCTTTCCTGCCCTGTTTAGAGGCTTTACGAGACGTTTAGTTGATCTTTTATCTTAGGCCCGTGTATCTTTTTGATGGTTCTCTGGAGGGAGGTTGGGATAGCTTTTTCTTGGACAGCAAATTTAAACCCCTGCTAACACCAGCAGAGCCCATCTCATGATTTACCTCTTCTCCTCTCCACCAGACATCTGCTTATTTTAGAGTACTCTTTTTACATGACTCAACAAAACCTTTTTTTTTTTTTTTTTTGAGACAGAATCTTGCTCTGTCGCCCAGGCTGGAGTGCAGTGGCGTGATCTTGGCTCACTGAAACCTCTGCCTCCTGGGTTCGAGCAATTCTCCTGCCTCAGCCTCCCGAGTAGCTGAGACTACAGGCGCGTGCCACCATGCCCGGCTAATTTTTTTGTATTTTTAGTAGAGATGGGGTTTCACCATGTTAGTCAGGATGGTCTCCATCTCCTGACATCATGATCCACCCACCTCAGCCTCCCAAAGTGCTGGAATTACAGGCGTGAGCCACCACGCCCAGCCCCTCAACAAAACCTTTTTATTTGGCAGCTGGTGCGGGAAGAGAGATAACGAGATACTGTCATGGATATTGTAAGAATTGTGGAGTAAAGAGAGGCTGGGGGAACTTGAGATACAGGTGTCCTGAATAAGGATAAGAGAAGGCAGGAAAGGGGAGAGTAAGAAAAATATACAGTGCCAAACATTTGCAGGAAAATGCCCAAAATAAAGATTTTATGCAAACTGAAATACCAGTATTTTGACACTTAAAATTGCTTAGTATAATGGAAAAATAAAAATCAATATTGAAATTCCAATAGAGATGGAGAAAAGTAACAATTTTTTTAAGAATATGGAAAGAAAACAAGGGCAATTCCTAAGTTTTTGCCTTGAGCAGCTAAGTATAGTTTTAAACAGGTGGACTGTTTACTAAAGGGTGAAGATTGGAAGCATATGAAATTTGAAAGAAAAACTAAGAGCTCCACTTTGAATATCTTAAATTTGAGATTCCTCTAAACAGAGGTTGCTTAGGTGGTTGGATATATAAGTCTGGAGTCTCCAGAAGTCAGTGATAGAAATCTACACAAAGTTGACTGTTTTCAAGATATCTCTGGCTTTAAAAGCCATGGAACAGGATGAGATTTCCTAGAGAGGGGTTATTAGATGAGTAACAGTAGAAGTTCCTATAAAATCTGCAGATAAGTTTAAACAATGTCCGGGGAAGGAATAGAGATAAAAACTCAAGAACAAGTTGCCAGCAAAGTAGAAAGCAAGCCAGCAGAGCATAAGTCAGAGAAACCAAGTTAAAGAAATGATCTAAACATGAGGAAGACGTCAGCATATCAAATGCTGCAATGATGACAAATATGATGGAGATGGAGACACAGCCATTTGAGTATGATAACATGGGAAGACGCCAAGCTGGAGTTGGGGAAGTGAAACAGAGGTCAAGAACTGGACATCATGAGTAGAGAAAATTCCCCTTAAAAATTCTCTGTTGAAGCGTTCAAAAAATTAGACAAAAAAGAAAGAAAAGAAAAGGGAAAAAAAGGTACCAAGATATAAGAGTAACTAAGGGGAATGTAAAATTAATATCATGTAAATATTTTTGTTTGTTTTTTCTTTGTAAATTTGAAGTAGAACATGATCATATTTCAAAAGCAGAAGGATTGTTTTGAGGAACTGTAGGAGGTGAGTGGGAAGAATGTGAGGAGGTGAATATAGTAGTCTGAGTAAGAAATGATGGTGGGTTGGACAAGCATGGTAACAGAGGATGTGGAGCTTAATTGTCAGCTTCTGGATGTATGTTAAAATTAGAAGCAAAAACATTTTTTAATGTTTTGCAAACGAAATGTGAGAGAAAAAGGGAGGCAATGGTAATAGATATGACAACTCATAGAATATGACAACATAGGCTTTCAACAAATAGATTTTTAGCAAGAATGTGTAAATAAATGATTTTTCCCTACCAAGACTGGCTTTTATAACTAGCTTAGATACCTCTCTAACTTTTGGCCCTGGATTTCCCTATTCTGATGGAGAGTGTTTTCTCTCCTTCATTATAACCCTAAAATCCAAATGCATATTTTAGCTGTTTATGGATTAAGAGCATAAAGATTTTTGATCTTATCTTGTAATATCCCCTTGATTGCTAGAATGCCTGAAGGATATGTAATAAAAATAAATAAATAACAACAACTCTGTGTTCCAGGCCAACAAGGCACATAAGACATAAAAATGGAATGTAAACTCTTGTCACTGATTTGAAAGGAACTGTCAGTTGTTTGATTCTTTAAGTGATTCTGTCACACACTGGGGACCCCCGTCAGTGCAGTTTCACTCCTAAACTACTTTTATTAAAAGTATGTATCATCATGTGGCCACAAAAGCATGCTATGACAGAATAGTAATTTTTTCTTTCTCTTATCTTCACTATCTTCATCATAGAAAAGTGTTGTGTTTCTATGGTTGCAGGAACTAATTAATTCTATATCAAGCAGATATATTAATAGAAAATACTTTTTGGGTATTGAAAAACAAAGTTAGTATTTTAACAAATTTTAGGTTGTTTTGTTCTTCCCATCAACAAAATCCCACCATTTAAAAGCTATTCCTGTATTATTGTTTTCAACCTCTCCTTCTTCTGTGTTTACAGAGGATCTAGGCCAGAATGTGTAACTTCTGCCAGATTCCCATGATGTGGATTATATCCATCTCTACTTCTGAGTGTTTTCCAGAATCTCTTTCTTATTCCCAGTGTAATGCCAAGATGAGATCAATCACTGGAATGTGCCAATTATCTTAATATATGCCTTTGTCAGAGGTCAACAGCGTGAAGTGTGTCCTCTCTTTTATATACAGAGATTGTGGTGTTGTTAGGGATTTTTCCCTCTTTAGAATTGGTGCATTTTAACTGGGATGTTCTATGGACATATCTGATGATTACAATTACTATATAGGCCTGATTGTTGTTCTGCCTAGAATAGTCTCTATTTTTCATGCATGCTCTATCCAGTATTGTTATACTTTTTAATGGATTCAGCAGATAGTGTTGCTTTATTGTGAAGAAGCATTTTATCCTCAACCTTACATGACCTAGCCTTGTCTACTCTTCTAGCATTGTGGAAAGTAGTGTTTATTTGCTACAAACACTTTTGCTGAGTGGAGTGCTTTGGTTGGTAGCTTTTTCCATTAAGTGCAGTACTGTGAAAAGCTGCAGCTAATGCAGACAAGTGAGGCTTTAACACTCTGCCTGTCTGGGGGATGTTGCTGATATCTGGACAAAGCTTGCACTCAGAAGGTAGTCTTGGTCTGTTTCTTTGCGTTTAGACCATTGTGTAAGCTCAATTCATAGCATGCAGTTGTTCTTCACCTGTGCACTGTTAAGAAGGGTCCTGTACTTTAGGAACAGGTAAAGGTTAACTATTAGAATCCACCCAGCACATAATAGGATACAGTGGGATTTGTGGTTCACTTTGGCCGGTTCTATCAATATGAGCTCTTAACTTGGAGTGCAACTGTGAAAAGAAGTACTTTAGTCACAAAGCAATAGGTAGCATCAGGTTTGCCCAGCACAAAGCTGCAGGTGGTTAACGATGGTTTGCCACACCGCTGTTAATGGTGCTGCTTTAGATCAGTACAACCCTGTAAGTGGTAGCATTTAAATCCAGCACAACAATGTAAAAGGTGGTGTTTTCATCTCATTCAGAAAGACCCTGGTGTGGTAATCCTCACTTTCTAGTTGATTTTTGATAGGACACATAGGTGATAATATGGACTGTTTCCATCATTATTCTCATCAAGTCACAGATCATTAAAGACAACATTAAGTGAAATAAGCCAGGTACAGAATGACAAACACTGCATGATCTCACTCATATGTAGAATCAATTAGTTGATTTCCTGAAAGTAGAGAGTAGGATAGTGGTTACCAGAGGCTGGTAAGGTAGTGGGGAGATGGGGGGACCAGAAGAGGGTGGTCAATGGGTACAAAGTTAGTTAGATGGGAAGAATGAGTTTCAGTGTTCTGTTACACACTAGGGTGACTATAGCAAAGAACAATGTACTGTATATTTCAAGACAGCTAGAATATTTTAAATGTTGCCACTACAAAAAAAGGTAAACGTTTAAAGTGATTGATATGGTAATTACACCAATTTGGTCATTATACTTTGTATATATGCACTGAAACATCACAGTGTACCCCATAAATATGTACAATTATTATGTGTCAATTATATATTAAAAAATAAAATAAGGGAAATATTTTTATGTATTTCCTTAGTACCAATGATTTCCTTACCCATAACTCAGTCTTTGTTTTAAGATAAGTGGACTTAATATGAAAATATTCTAAACCTCTCAAACATGTCTCTTTTAAACAAGTATCAACATGAAATATTAGTAAAAATAATAGGTAAAGTGCAATATTAAAAAGCGATTTGTGGAAAAGCAAAGGTAAATATGCCACAGGAATCAGGAACATATGATAAGCCATAAAGCACACAGTTTATGTATGAATTACCAGTGTTTTTCTCTAATACCTTATTCTAAATAAAGAAAAACTAACAATACAGAGGCTTTGTCCTCGATGTATGAATCTCAATTTTTATAATGCTGATACTTCACTGAATTCCTCCTTCTGCCATATATATATATATATGACTGTATATACTATTAGTTGCAAGAAATGTGTGATCTTTATAATTAAAATCAATAAATATTGAACTTTAGTGTGGTGCATCATATCCCTCATAAGGGTTTAAGGCCTTTTAAAGCCTTTGTGCTTCAAGTCTAAGTCCCTAACCAGCCACATCAGTATCACTTGGGAACTTGTTAGACATGCAGAATCTTAACCCAATCTACAGACTCCGAAATTTGCATTTCAGCAAGATCCCCCTGATTCAAGACACGCTTTAAAGTTTGAGGATCACTGATCTAAGAGACCCAGATAATCTTTTGGGTCTTGCCTTGGTGAAGATACTTTCCAAGGCTCAGGCATCACAATCTAAATTAAAGCTTTTGCAGGATAGTCAAGAAGACCATTACTAAATTTTGGAGCCACTTCAGGACTTTGCTAAAAATTACAGAGATCATTTACTTTGTGGCTGAGAAATGTCGTCCTATACCAAAAGATAGGATTAAGATATGAGTTTAAGTAACCTGGAATCCTGCTGAAGAGATGAATTCAGTCATTGACTATCCTACTAATAGCATAGTAAGAGCAAGGAGTTCTGGAAACTCAGAAGACAATATAGATTTTTATTCATAGAAATGCAATGTGAAGAAAAGATCACAGCAAACTACCAAGGGCTACTATCTCTTATGTGAATCTCTTATTTAACACACATTCATTCAATCAGCATTTTGTAAACATCTCATAAACACCCACTAATCACAGATTTAGGGAAAAAGCTCATAAGCTTCATAAAGAAGTCTGAAGCAAATTATCTTAAAGAAATGTTTTCTTATATGTCTTTGCTTCAGAAGTAAAATTAACATAGACTGTATATTAGTATACTTGGTACCATTACATAAACATGTGGGAGGAAAAA